>NC_000022.11:14185243-14419454 GCF_000001405.40 Homo sapiens | reverse complement strand
TCTGTCTTGATTTGATATGAAGATATTCCCGTTTCCAACGAAATCTTCAAATCTATCCAAATGTCCACTTGCAGATTCAACAAAGTGTTTTTCAGAACTGCTCTATCAAAAGAAAGATCCACGTGTGTTAGCTGAGTTCACACATCACGAACAAGTTTATGAGAATGCTTCTGTCTAGTTTTTATTTGAAGATATATCCTTTCTCACTATAGACCTGAAAGCTCTCCTAAAGTTCACTTCCAGATACTACAGAAAGAGTTTTTCAAAACTGCTGTACGAAAGGGAATGTTCAACTCTGTGACTTGAAAGCACACATCACAAGGAAGATTCTGAGGATGCTGCTGTCTACTTTTTATACGTAATCCCGTTTCCAACGAAATCCCCCAAGCTATCCAAATATCCACTTGCAGATTCCACAGAAAGACTGTTTCAAAACTGCTCTGTCAATAGAAAGGTTCAACTCTATTAGCTGCGTGCATATATCCCAAAGAAGATTCTGAGATTGCTTCTGTCTAGTTTTTATGGGAAGATATTTACCTTTTCACCGTAGGCGCCAAGGCGTTCCAAATGTCCACTTCCAGATACTACAAAAAGAGTGTTTCAAACCTACTCTGTGAAAGGGAATATTCAACTCTGTGACTTGAAGGCAGATATCACAAAGAAGTTTCTGAGAATGCTTCTGTCGAGATTTTATATGAAGATATTCCCGTTTCCAACGAAATCCTGAAATCTATCCAAATATCCCCTCGCAGATTCTACAAAAAGAGTGTTTCAAAACTGCTCTGTAAAAAGAAAGGTTCAACTCTGTTAGTTGAGTACACACATCACAAACAAGTTTCACAGAATGCTTCTTTCTAGCTTGTAGGGGAAGATATTCCCTTTATCACCATGGGCCTCAAACCGTCCAAAACGTCTACTTCCATATACTACAAAAAGAGCGTTTCAAACCTGCTCTATGAAAGGCAATGTTCAACTCTGTGACTTGAATGCAGACATCACAGAGCAGTTTATGAGAATGCTTCTGTCTAGATTTTATAGGAAGATATTCCCGTTTCCAACGAAATCTTCACAGCTATCCAAATATCCACTTGCAGATTCTACAAAAAGAGTGTATCAAAACTGCTCTGTCAAAAGGAAGGTTCTTCTCTGTTAGTTGAGTACATACGTCATAAAGGAGTTTCTGAGAATGTTTCTGTCTAGTGGTTATGGGAAGATATTTGCTTTTTCACCGTAGGCCTCAGAGCTCTCCAAATATCCCCTTGCACATGCTACAAAAAGAGTGCTTCAAAGCTGCTCTCTGAAACGGAATGTTCAACTCTATGAGTTGAATGCAAACATCACAAAGACGTTTCTGGGAATGCTTCTGTATAGATTTGATATGAAGATATTCCCGTTTCCAACGAAATCTTCAAATCTATCCAAATGTCCACTTGCAGATTCAACAAAAAGTGTTTTTCAGAACTGCTCTATCAAAAGAAAGATCCACCTCTGTTAGCTGAGTTCACACATCACAAACAAGTTTATGAGAATGCTTCTGTCTAGTTTTTATTTGAAGATATTTCCTTTCTCACCATAGAGCTGAAAGCTGTCCTAATGTTCACTTCCAGATACTACAGAAAGAGTGTTTCAAAACTGCTGTACGAAAGGGAATGTTCAACTATGTGACTTGAATGCACACATCACAAAGAAGTTTACTGAGGATGCTGCTGTCTACTTTTTATACGTAATCCCTTTTCCAACGAAATCCTCCAAGCTATCCAAATATCCACTTGCAGATTCCACAGAAAGACTGTTTCAAAACTGCTCTGTCAATAGAAAGGTTCAACTCTGTTAGCTTGCGTGCATATATCCCAAAGAAGATTCTGAGATTGCTTCTGTCTAGTTTTTATGGGAAGATATTTCTCTTTTCACCGTAGGTGTTAAGGCGCTCCAAATGTCCACTTCCAGATACTACAAAAAGAGTGTTTCAAACCTACTCTGTGAAAGGGAATATTCAACTCTGTGACTTGAATGCAGATATCACAAAGAAGTTTCTGAGAATGCTTCTGTCGAGATTTTATATGAAGATATTCCCGTTTCCAACGAAATGCTGAAATGTATCCAAATATCCCCTCGCAGATTCTACAAAAAGAGTGTTTCAAAAGTGCTCTGTAAAAAGAAAGGTTCAACTCTGTTAGTTGAGTACACACATCACAAACAAGTTTCACAGAATGCTTCTTTCTAGCTTGTAGGGGAAGATATTCCCTTTATCACCATGGGCCTCAAACCGTCTGAAACGTCCACTTCCATATACTACAAAAAGAGCGTTTCAAAGCTGCTCTATGAAAGGCAATGTTCAACTCTGTGACTTGAATGCAGACATCACAGAGCAGTTTCTGAGAATGCTTCTGTCTAGATTTTATAGGAAGATATTCCCGTTTCCAACGAAATCTTCACAGCTATCCAAATATCCACTTGCAGATTCTACAAAAAGAGTGTATCAAAACTGCTCTGTCAAAAGGAAGGTTCTTCTCTGTTAGGTGAGTGCATACGTCATAAAGGAGTTTCTGAGAATGTTTCTGTCTAGTGGTTATGGGAAGATATTTGCTTTTTCACCTTAGGCCTCAGAGCGCTCCAAATATCCCCTTGCACATACTACAAAAAGAGTGCTTCAAAGCTGCTCTCTGAAAGGGAATGTTCAACTCTATGGGTTGAATGCAAACATCACAAAGACGTTTCTGAGAATGCTTCTGTCTAGATTTGATATGAAGATATTCCCGTTTCCAACGAAATCTTCAAATCTATCCAAATGTCCACTTGCAGATTCAACAAAAAGTGTTTTTCAGAACTGCTCTATCAAAAGAAAGATCCACCTCTGTTAGCTGAGTTCACACATCACAAACAAGTTTATGAGAATGCTTCTGTCTAGTTTTTATTTGAAGATATTTCCTTTCTCACCATAGACCTGAAAGCTGTCCTAATGTTCACTTCCAGATACTACAGAAAGAGTGATTCAATACTGCTGTACGAAAGGGAATGTTCAACTCTGTGACTTGAATGCACACATCACAAAGAAGTTTCTGAGGATGCTGCTGTCTACTTTTTATACGTAATCCCGTTTCCAACGAAATCCTCCAAGCTATCCAAATATCCACTTGCAGATTCCACAGAAAGACTGTTTCAAAACTGCTCTGTCAATAGAAAGGTTCAACTCTGTTAGCTGCGTGCATATATCCCAAAGAAGATTCTGAGATTGCTTCTGTCTAGTTTTTATGGGAAGATATTTCCCTCTTCACCGTAGGTGTCAAGGCGCTCCAAATGTCCACTTCCAGATACTACAAAAAGAGTGTTTCAAACCTACTCTGTGAAAGGGAATATTCAACTCTGTGACTTGAATGCACACATCACAAAGAAGTTTCTGAGGATGCTTCTGTCGAGATTTTATATGAAGATATTCCCGTTTCCAACGAAATCCTGAAATGTATCCAAATATCCCCTCGCAGATTCTACAAAAAGAGTGTTTCAAAACTGCTCTGTAAAAAGAAAGGTTCAACTCTGTTAGTTGAGTACACTCATCACAAACAAGTTTCACAGAATGCTTCTTTCTAGCTTGTAGGGGAAGATATTCCCTTTATCACCATGGGCCTCCAACCGTCCGAAACATCCACTTCCATATACTACAAAAAGAGCGTTTCAAACCTGCTCTACGAAAGGCAATGTTCAACTCTGTGACTTGAATGCAGACATCACAGAGCAGTTTCTGAGAATGCTTCTGTCTAGACTTTATAGGAAGGTATTCCCGTTTCCAACGAAATCTTCACAGCTATCCAAATATCCACTTGCAGATTCTCCAATGGAGTGTATCAAAACTGCTCTGTCAAAAGGAAGGTTCTTCTGTTTTAGTTGAGTACTTACGTCATAAAGAAGTTTCTGAGAATGTTTCTGTCTAGTGGTTATGGGAAGATATTTGCTTTTTCACCTTAGGCCTCAGAGCGCTCCAAATATCCACTTGCACATACTACAAAAAGAGTGCCTCAAAGCTGCTCTCTGAAACGGAATGTTCAACTCTATGAATTGAATGCAAACATCACAAAGACGTTTCTGAGAATGCTTCTGTCTAGATTTGATATGAAGATATTCCCGTTTCCAACGAAATCTTGAAATCTATCCAAATGTCCACTTGCAGATTCAACAAAGTGTTTTTCAGAACTGCTCTATCAAAAGAAAGATCCACCTCTGTTAGCTGAGATCACACTTCACAAACAAGTTTATCAGAATGCTTCTGTCTAGTTTTTATTTGAAGATATATCCTTTCTCACTATAGACCTGAAAGCTGTCCTAAAGTTCACTTCCAGATACTACAGAAACAGTGTTTCAAAACTGCTGTACGAAAGGGAATGTTCAACTCTGTGACGTGAATGCACACATCACAAGGATGTTTCTGAGGATGCTGCTGTCTACTTTTTATACGTAATCCCGTTTCCAACGAAATCCTCCAAGCTATCCAAATATCCACTTGCAGTTTCCACAGAAAGACTGTTTCAAAACTGCTCTGTCAATAGAAAGGTTCAACTCTGTTAGCTGCGTGCATATATCCCAAAGAAGATTCTGAGATTGCTTCTGTCTAGTTTTTATGGGAAGATATTTCCCTTTTCACCATAGGCGTCAAGGCGCTCCAAATGTCCACTTCCAGATACTACAAAAAGAGTGTTTCAAACCTACTCTGTGAAAGGGAATATTCAACTCTGTGACTTGAATGCACATATCACAAAGAAGTTTCTGAGAATGCTTCTGTCGAGATTTTATATAAAGATATTTCCGTTTCCAACGAAATCCTGAAATCTATCCAAATATCCCCTCGCAGATTCTACAAAAAGAGTGTTTCAAAACTGCTCTGTAAAAAGAAAGGTTCAACTCTGTTAGTTGAGTACACACATCACAAACAAGTTTCACAGAATGCTTCTTTCTAGCTTGTAGGGGAAGATATTCCCTTTATCACCATGGGCCTCCAACCGTCCGAAACATCCACTTCCATATACTACAAAAAGAGCGTTTCAAACCTGCTCTATGAAAGGCAATGTTCAACTCTGTGACTTGAATGCAGACATCACAGAGCAGTTTCTGAGAATGCTTCTGTCTAGATTTTATAGGAAGATATTCCCGTTTCCAACGAAATCTTCACAGCTATCCTAATATCCACTTGCAGATTCTACAAAAAGAGTGTATCAAAACTGCTCTGTCAAAAGGAAGGTTCTTTTCTGTTAGTTGAGTGCATACGTCATAAAGGAGTTTCTGAGAATGTTTCTGTCTAGTGGTTATGGGAAGATATTTTCTTTTTCCCCGTAGGCCTCAGGGCGCTCCAAATGTCCACTTGCACATGCTACAAAAAGAGTGCTTCAAAGCTACTCTCTGGAAGGGAATGTTCAACTCTATGAGTTGAATGCAAACATCACAAAGACGTTTCTGAGAATGCTTCTGTCTAGATTTGATATGAAGATATTCCCGTTTCCAACGAAATCTTCAAATCTATCCAAATATCCACTTGCAGATTCAACAAAGTGTTTTTCAGAACTGCTCTATCAAAAGAAAGATCCACCTCTGTTAGCTGAGTTCACACTTCACAAACAAGTTTATCAGAATGCTTCTGTCTAGTTTTTATTTGAAGATATTTCCTTTCTCACCATAGAGCTGAAAGCTGTCCTAATATTCACTTCCAGATACTACAGAAAGAGTGTTTCAAAACTGCTGTACGAAAGGGAATGTTCAACTCTGTGACTTGAATGCACACATCACAAAGAAGTTTCTGAGGATGCTGCTGTATACTTTTTATACTTAATCCCGTTTCCAACGAAATCCTCCAAGCTATCCAAATATCCACTTGCAGATTCCACAGAAAGACTGTTTCAAAACTGCTCTGTCAATAGAAAGGTTCAACTCTGTTAGCTGCGTGCATATATCCCAAAGAAGATTCTGAGATTGCTTCTGTCTAGTTTTTATGGGAAGATATTTCCCTTTTCACCGTAGGCGTCAAGGCGCTCCAAATGTCCACTTCCAGATACTACAAAAAGAGTGTTTCAAACCTACTCTGTGGAAGGGAATATTCAACTCTGTGACTTGAATGCAGATATCACAAAGAAGTTTCTGAGAATGCTTCTGTCGAGATTTTATATGAAGATATTCCCGTTTCCAACGAAATCCTGAAATCTATCCAAATATCCCCTCGCAGATTCTACAAAAAGAGTGTTTCAACACTGCTCTGTAAAAAGAAAGGTTCAACTCTGTTAGTTAAGTACACACATCACAAACAAGTTTCACAGAATGCTTCTTTCTAGCTTGCAGGGGAAGATATTCCCTTTATCACCATGGGCCTCAAACCGTCCGAAACGTCTACTTCCATATAGTACAAAAAGAGCGTTTCAAACCTGCTCTATGAAAGGCAATGTTCAACTCTGTGACTTGAATGCAGACATCACAGAGCAGTTTCTGAGAATGCTTCTGTCTAGATTTTATAGGAAGATATTCCCGTTTCCAACGAAATCTTCACAGGTATCCAAATATCCACTTGCAGATTCTACAAAAAGAGTGTATCAAAACTGCTCTGTCAAAAGGAAGGTTCTTCTCTGTTAGGTGAGTGCATACGTCATAAAGGAGTTTCTGAGAATGTTTTCTGTCTAGTGGTTATGGGAAGATATTTGCTTTTTCACCGTAGGCCTCAGAGGGCTCCAAATATCCACTTGCACATACTACAAAAAGAGTGCCTCAAAGCTGCTCTCTGAAACGGAATGTGCAACTCTATGAGTTGAATGCAAACATCGCAAAGACGTTTCTGAGAATGCTTCTGTCTAGATTTGATATGAAGATATTCCCGTTTCCAACGAAATCTTCAAATGTATCCAAATGTCCACTTGCAGATTCAACAAAAAGTGTTTTTCAGAACTGCTCTATCAAAAGTAAGATCCACCTCTGTTAGCTGAGTTCACACCTCACAAACAAGTTTATGAGAATGCTTCTGTCTAGTTTTTATTTGAAGATATTTCCTTTCTCACCATAGAGCTGAAAGCTGTCCTAATGTTCACTTCCAGATACTACAGAAAGAGTGTTTCAAAACTGCTGTACGAAAGGGAATGTTCAACTCTGTGACTTGAATGCACACATCACAAAGAAGTTTCTGAGGATGCTGCTGTCTACTTTTTATACGTAATCCCGTTTCCAAAGATATCCTCCAAGCTATCCAAATATCCACTTGCAGATTCCACAGTAAGACTGTTTCAAAACTGCTCTGTCAATAGAAAGGTTCAACTCTGTTAGCTGCGTGCATATATCCCAAAGAAGATTCTGAGATTGCTTCTGTCTAGTTTTTATGGGAAGATATTTCCCTTTTCACCGTAGGTGTCAAGGCGCTCCAAATGTCCACTTCCAGATACTACAAAAAGAGTGTTTCAAACCTACTCTGTGAAAGGGAATATTCAACTCTGTGACTTAAAGGGAGATATCACAAAGAAGTTTCTGAGAATGCTTCTGTCGAGATTTTCTATGAAGATATTCCCGTTTCCAACGAAATCCTGAAATCTATTCAAATATCCCCTCGCAGATTCTACAAAAAGAGTGTTTCAAAACTGCTCTGTAAAAAGAAAGGTTCAACTCTGTTAGTTGAGTACACACATCACAAACAAGTTTCACAGAATGCTTCTTTCTAGCTTGTAGGGGAAGATATTCCCTTTATCACCATGGGCCTCAAACCGTCCGAAACGTCCACTTCCATATACTACAAAAAGAGCGTTTCAAACCTGCTCTAGGAAAGGCAATGTTCAACTCTGTGACTTGAATGCAGACATCAAAGAGCAGGTTCTGAGAATGCTTCTGTCTAGATTTTATAGGAAGATATTCCCGTATCCAACGAAATCTTCACAGCTATCCAAATATCCACTTGCAGATTCTACAAAAAGAGTGTATCAAAACTGCTCTGTCAAAAGGAAGGTTCTTCTCTGTTAGTTGAGTACATACGTCATAAAGGAGTTTCTGAGAATGTTTCTGTCTAGTGGTTATGGGAAGATATTTGCTTTTTCACCGTAGGCCTCAGAGCGCTCCAAATATCCACTTGCACATACTACAAAAAGAGTGCTTCAAACCTGCTCTCTGAAACGGAATGTTCAACTCTATGAGTTGAATGCGAACATCACAAAGACGTTTCTGAGAATGCTTCTGTCTAGATTTGATATGAAGATATTCCCGTTTCCAACGAAATCTTCAAAGCTATCCAAATGTCCACTTGCAGATTCAACAAAAAGTGTTTTTCAGAACTGCTCTATCAAAAGAAAGATCCACCTCTGTTAGCTGAGTTCACACATCACAAACAAGTTTATGAAAATGCTTCTGTCTAGTTTTTATTTGAAGATATTTCCTTTCTCACCATAGACCTGAAAGCTGTCCTAATGTTCACTTCCAGATACTACAGAAAGAGTGTTTCAAAACTGCTGTACGAAAGGGAATGTTCAACTCTGTGACTTGAATGCACACATCACAAAGAAGTTTCTGAGGATGCTGCTGTCTACTTTTTATACGTAATCCCGTTTCCAACGAAATCCACCAATCTATCCAAATATCCACTTGCAGATTCCACAGAAAGACTGTTTCAAATCTGCTCAGTCAATAGAAAGGTTCAACTCTGTTAGCTGCGTGCATATATCCCAAAGAAGATTCTGAGATTGCTTCTGTCTAGTTTTTATGGGAAGATATTTCCCTTTTCACCGTAGGTGTCAAGGCGCTCCAAATGTCCACTTCCAGATACTACAAAAAGAGTGTTTCAAACCTACTCTGTGAAAGGGAATATTCAACTCTGTGACCTGAATGCACATATCACAAAGAAGTTTCTGAGAATGCTTCTGTCGAGATTTTATATGAAGATATTCCCGTTTCCAACGAAATGCTGAAATCTATCGAAATATCCCCTCGCAGATTCTACAAAAAGAGTGTTTCAAAACTGCTCTGTGAAAAGAAAGGTTCAACTCTGTTAGTTGAGTACACACATCACAAACAAGTTTCACAGAATGCTTCTTTCTAGCTTGTAGGGGAAGATATTCCCTTTATCACCATGGGCCTCAAACCGTCCGAAACGTCCACTTCCAAATACTACAAAAAGAGTGTTTCAAACCTGCTCTATGAAAGGCAATGTTCAACTCTGTGACTTGAATGCAGACATCACAGAGCAGTTTCTGAGAATGCTTCTGTCCAGACTTTATAGGAAGATATTCCCGTTTCCAACGATATCTTCACAGCTATCCAAATATCCACTTGCAGATACTACAAAAAGAGTGTATCAAAAATGCTCTGTCAAAAGGAAAGTTCTTCTCTGCTAGTTGAGTACATACGTCATAAAGAAGTTTCTGAGAATGTTTCTGTCTAGTGGTTATGGAAAGATATTTGCTTTTTCACCGTAGGCCTCAGAGCGCTCCAAATATCCACTTGCACATACTACAAAAAGAGTGCCTCAAAGCTGCTCTCTGAAACGGAATGTTCAACTCTATGAGTTGAATGCAAACATCGCAAAGACGTTTCTGAGAATGCTTCTGTCTAGATTTGATATGAAGATATTCCCGTTTCCAACGAAATCTTCAAATCTATCCAAATGTCCACTTGCAGATTCAACAAAATGTGTTTTTCAAAACTGCTGTATCAAAAGAAAGATCCACGTCTGTTAGCTGAGTTCACACATCACAAACAAGTTTAGGAGAATGCTCTGTCTAGTTTTTATTTGAAGATATTTCCTTTCTCACCATAGAGCTGAAAGCTGTCCTAATGTTCACTTCCAGATACTACAGAAAGAGTGTTTCAAAACTGCTGTACGAAAAGGAATGTTCAACTCTGTGACTTGAATGCACACATCACAAAGAAGTTTCTGAGGATGCTGGCTTTCTACTTTTTATACGTAATCCCGTTTCCAACGAAATCCTCCAAGCTATCCAAATATCCACTTGCAGATTCCACAGAAAGACTGTTTCAAAACTGCTCTGTCAATAGAAAGGTTCAACTCTGTTAGCTGCGTGCATATATCCCAAAGAAGATTCTGAGATTGCTTCTGTCTAGTTTTCATGGGAAGATATTTCCCTTTTCACCGTAGGCGTCAAGGCGCTCCAAATGTCCACTTCCAGATACTACAAAAAGAGTGTTTCAAACCTACTCTGTGAAAGGGAATATTCAACTCTGTGACTTGAATGCACATATCACAAAGAAGTTTCTGAGAATGCTTCTGTCGAGATTTTATATGAAGATATTCCCGTTTCCAACGAAATCCTGAAATCTATCCAAATATCCCCACGCAGATTCTACAAAAAGAGTGTTTCAAAACTGCTCTGTAAAAAGAAAGGTTCAACTCTGTTAGTTGAGTACACACATCACAAACAAGTTTCACAGAATGCTTCTTTCTAGCATGTAGGGGAAGATATTTCCTTTATCACCATGGTCCTCAAACCGTCCGAAACATCCACTTCCATATACTAAAAAAAGAGTGTTTGAAACCTGCTCTATGAAAGGCAATGTTCAACTCTGTGACTTGAATGCAGACATCTCAGAGCAGTTTCGGAGAATGCTTCTGTCTAGCATTTTATAGGAAGATATTCCCGTTTCCAACGAAATCTTCACAGCTATCCAAATATCCACTTGCAGATTCTACAAAAAGAGTGTATCAAAACTGCTCTGTCAAAAGGAAGGTTCTTCTCTGTTAGGTGAGTGCATACGTCATAAAGGAGTTTCTGAGAATGTTTCTGTCTAGTGGTTATGGGAAGATATTTGCTTTTTCACCTTAGGCCTCAGAGCGCTCCAAATATCCACTTGCACATACTACAAAAAGAGTGCCTCAAAGCTGCTCTCTGAAACGGAATGTTCAACTCTATGAGTTGAATGCAAACATCGCAAAGACGTTTCTGAGAATGCTTCTGTCTAGATTTGATATGAAGATATTCCCGTTTCCAACGAAATCTTCAAATCTATCCAAATGTCCACTTGCAGATTCAACAAAAAGTGTTTTTCAGAACTGTTCTATCAAAAGAAAGATCCACCTCTCTTAGCTGAGTTCACACATCACAAACAAGTTTATGAGAATGCTTCTGTCTAGTTTTTATTTGAAGATATTTCCTTTCTCACCATAGACCTGAAAGCTGTCCTAATGTTCACTTCCAGTTACTACAGAAAGAGTGTTTCAAAACTGCTGCACGAAAGGGAATGTTCAACTCTGTGACTTGAATGCACACATCACAAAGAAGTTTCTGAGGATGCTGCTGTCTACTTTTTATACGTAATCCCATTTCCAACGAAATCCTCCAAGCTATCCAAATATCCACTTGCAGATTCCACAGAAAGACTGTTTCAAAACTGCTATGTCAATAGAAAAGTTCAACTCTGTTAGCTGTGTGCATATATCCCAAAGAAAATTCTGAGATTGCTTCTGTCTAGTTTTTATGGGAAGATATTTCCCTTTTCACCGTAGGGGTCAAGGCGCTCCAAATGTCCACTTCCAGATACTATAAAAAGAGTGTTTCAAACCTACTCTGTGAAAGGGAATATTCAACTCTGTGACTTGAATGCAGATATCATAAAGAAGTTTCTGAGAATGCTTCTGTCGAGATTTTGTATGAAGATATTCCCGTTTCCAACGAAATCCTGAAATCTATCCAAATTTCCCCTCGCAGATTCTACAAAAAGAGTGTTTCAAAACTGCTCTGCAAAAAGAAAGGTTCAACTCTGTTAGTTGAGTACACACATCACAAACAAGTTTCACAGAATGCTTCTTTCTAGCTTGTAGGGGAAGATATTCCCTTTATCACCATGGGCCTCAAACCGTCCGAAACGTCCACTTCCATATACTACAAAAAGAGCGTTTCAAACCTGCTCTACGAAAGGCAATGTTCAACTCTGTGACTTGAATGCAGACATCACAGAGCAGTTTCTGAGAATGCTTTCTGTCTAGATTTTATAGGAAGATATTCCCGTTTCCAACGAAATCTTCACAGCTATCCAAATATCCTCTTGCAGATTCTAGAAAAAGAGTGTATCAAAACTGCTCTGTCAAAAGGAAGGTTCTTTTCTGTTAGGTGAGTGCATACGTCATAAAGGAGTTTCTGAGAATGTTTCTGTTAGTGGTTATAGGAAGATATTTGCTTTTTCACCGTAGGCCTCAGAGCGCTCCAAATATCCACTTGCACATACTACAAAAAGAGTGCCTCAAAGCTGCTCTCTGAAACGGAATGTTCAACTCTATGAGTTGAATGCAAACATCGCAAAGACGTTTCTGAGAATGCTTCTGTCTAGATTTGATATGAAGATATTCCCGTTTCCAACGAAATCTTCAAATCTATCCAAATGTCCACTTGCAGATTCAACAAAAAGTGTTTTTCAGAATTGCTCTATCAAAAGAAAGATCCACCTCTGTTAGCTGAGTTCACACATCACAAACAAGTTTATGAGAATGCTTCTGTCTAGTTTTTATTTGAAGATATTTCCTTTCTCACCATAGACCTGAAAGCTGTCGTAATGTTTACTTCCAGATACTACAGAAAGAGTGTTTCAAAACTGCTGTATGAAACGGAATGTTCAACTCTGTGACTTGAATGCACACATCACAAAGAAGTTTCTGAGGATGCTGCTGTCTACTTTTTATACGTAATCCCGTTTTCAACGAAATCCTCCAAGCTATCCAAATATCCACTTGCAGATTCCACAGAAAGACTGTTTCAAAACTGCTCTGTCAATAGAAAGGTTCAACTCTGTTAGCTGCGTGCATATATCCCAAAGAAGATTCTGAGATTGCTTCTGTCTAGTTTTTATGGGAAGATATTTCCCTTTTCACCGTAGGTGTCAAGGCGCTCCAAATGTCCACTTCCAGATACTACAAAAAGAGTGTTTCAAACCTACTCTGTGAAAGGGAATATTCAACTCTGTGACTTGAATGCACATATCACAAGGAAGTTTCTGAGAATGCTTCTGTCGAGATTTTATATGAAGATATTCCCGTTTCCAACGAAATGTTGAAATGTATCCAAATATCCCCTCGCAGATTCTACAAAAAGAGTGTTTCAAAACTGCTCTGTAAAAACAAAGGTTCAACTCTGTTAGTTGAGTACACACATCACAAACAAGTTTCACAGAATGCTTCTTTCTAGCTTGTAGGGGAAGATATTCCCTTTATCACCATGGGCCTCAAACCGTCCGAAACGTCCACTTCCATATACTACAAAAAGAGCGTTTCAAACCTGCTCTATGAAAGGCAATGTTCAACTCTGTGACTTGAATGCAGACATCACAGAGCAGTTTCTGAGAATGCTTCTGTCTAGATTTGATATGAAGATATTCCCGTTTCCAACGAAATCTTCAAATCTATCCAAATGTCCACTTGCAGATTCAACAAAAAGTGTTTTTCAGAACTGCTCTATCAAAAGAAAAATCCACCTCCGTTAGCTGAGTTCACACTTCACAAACAAGTTTATCAGAATGCTTCTGTCTAGTGGTTATGGGATGATATTTGCTTTTTCACCGTAGGCCTCAGAGCGCTCCAAATATCCACTTGCACATACTACAAAAAGAGTGCTTCAAAGCTGCTCTCTGAAAGGGAATGTTCAACTCTATGAGTTGAATGCAAACATCACAAAGACGTTTCTGAGAATGCTTCTGTCTAGATTTGATATGAAGATATTCCCGTTTCCAACGAAATCTTCAAATCTATCCAAATGTCCACTTGCAGATTCAACAAAAAGTGTTTTTCAGAACTGCTCTATCAAAAGAAAGATCCACGTGTGTTAGCTGAGTTCACACATCACAAACAAGTTTATGAGAATGCTTCTGTCTGGTTTTTATTTGAAGATATTTCCTTTCTCACCATAGACCTGAAAGCTGTCCTAATGTTCACTTCCAGATACTACAGAAAGAGTGTTTCAAAACTGCTGTACGAAAGGGAATGTTCAACTCTGTGACTTGAATGCACACATCACAAAGAAGTTTCTGAGGATGCTGCTGTCTACTTTTGATACGTAATCCCGTTTCCAACGAAATCCTCCAAGCTATCCAAATATCCACTTGCAGATTCCACAGAAAGACTGTTTCAAAACTGCTCTGTCAATAGAAAGGTTCAACTCTGTTAGCTGCGTGCATATATCCCAAAGAAGATTCTGAGATTGCTTCTGTCTAGTTTTTATGGGAAGATATTTCCCTTTTCACCGTAGGCGTCAAGGCGCTCCAAATGTCCACTTCCAGATACTACAAAAAGAGTGTTTCAAACCTACTCCGTGAAAGGGAATATTCAACTCTGTGACTTGAATGCACATATCACAAAGAAGTTTCTGAGAATGCTTCTGTCGAGATTTTATATGAAGATATTCCCGTTTCCAACGAAATCCTGAAATGTATCCAAATATCCCCTCGCAGATTCTACAAAAAGAGTGTTTCAAAACTGCTCTGTAAAAAGAAAGGTTCAACTCTGTTAGTTGAGTACACACATCACAAACAAGTTTCACAGAATGCTTCTTTCTAGCTTGTAGGGGAAGATATTCCCTTTATCACCATGGTCCTCAAACCGTCCGAAACGTCCACTTCCATATACTACAAAAAGAGCATTTCAAACCTGCTCTATGAAAGGCAATGTTCAACTCTGTGACTTGAATGCAGACATCACAGAGCAGTTTCTGAGAATGCTTCTGTATAGATTTTATAGGAAGATATTCCCGTTTCCAACGAAATCTTCACAGGTATCCAAATATCCACTTGCAGATTCTACAAAAAGAGTGTATCAAAACTGCTCTGTCAAAAGGAAGGTTCTTCTCTGTTAGGTGAGTGCATACGTCATAAAGGAGTTTCTGAGAATGTTTCTGTCTAGTGGTTATGGGAAGATATTTGCTTTTTCACCGTAGGCCTCAGAGCGCTCCAAATATCCACTTGCACATACTACAAAAAGAGTGCTTCAAACCTGCTCTCTGAAACGGAATGTTCAACTCTATGAGTTGAATGCAAACATCACAAAGACGTTTCTGAGAATGCTTCTGTCTAGATTTGATATGAAGATATTCCCGTTTCCAACGAAATCTTCAAATCTATCCAAATGTCCTCTTGCAGATTCAACAAAAAGTGTTTTTCAGAACTGCTCTATCAAAAGAATGATCGACGTGTGTTAGCTGAGTTCACACATCACGAACAAGTTTATGAGAATGCTTCTGTCTAGTTTTTATTTGAAGATATTTCCTTTCTCACCATAGACCTGAAAGCTGTCCTAATGTTCACTTCCAGATACTACAGAAAGAGTGTTTCAAAACTGCTGTACGAAAGGGAATGTTCAACTCTGTAACTTGAATGCACACATCACAAAGAAGTTTCTGAGGATGCTGCTGTCTACTTTTTATACGTAATCCCGTTTCCAACGAAATCCTCCAAGCTATCCAAATATCCACTTGCAGATTCCACAGAAAGACTGTTTCAAAACTGCTCTGTCAATAGAAAGGTTCAACTCTGTTAGCTGTGTCCATATATCCCAAAGAAGATTCTGAGATTGCTTCTGTCTAGTTTTTATGGGAAGATATTTCCCTTTTCACCGTAGGCGTCAAGGCGCTCCAAATGTCCACTTCCAGATACTACAAAAAGAGTGTTTCAAACCTACTCTGTGAAAGGGAATATTCAACTCAGTGATTTGAATGCAGATATCACAAAGAAGTTTCTGAGAATGCTTCTGTCGAGATTTTATATGAAGATATTCCCGTTTCCAACGAAATCCTGAAATCTATCCAAATATCCCCTCGCAGATTCTACAAAAAGAGTGTTTCAAAACTGCTCTGTGAAAAGGAAGGTTCAACTCTGTTAGTTGAGTACACACATCACAAACAAGTTTCACAGAATGCTTCCTTCTAGCTGGTAGGGGAAGATATTCACTTTATCACCATGGGCCTCAAACCGTCCGAAACGTCCACTTCCATATACTACGAAAAGAGCGTTTCAAACCTGCTCTATGAAAGGCAATGTTCAACTCTGTGACTTGAATGCAGACATCACAGAGCAGTTTCTGAGAATGCTTCTGTCTAGATTTTATAGGAAGATATTCCCGTTTTCAACGAAATCTTCACAGCTATCCAAATATCCACTTGCAGATTCTACAAAAAGAGTGTATCAAAACTGCTCTGTCAAGAGGAAGGTTCTTCTCAGTTAGGTGAGTGCATACGTCATAAAGGAGTTTCTGAGAATGTTTCTGTCTAGTGGTTATGGGAAGATATTTGCTTTTTCACCGTAGGCCTCAGAGCGCTCCAAATATCCACTTGCACATACTACAAAAAGAGAGCTTCAAAGCTGCTCTCTGAAACGGAATGTTCAACTCTATGAGTTGAATGCAAACATCACAAAGACGTTTCTGAGAATGCTTCTGTCTAGATTTGATATGAAGATATTCCCGTTTCCAATGAAATCTTCAAATCTATCCAAATGTCCACTTGCGGATTCAACAAAAAGTGTTTTTCAAAACTGCTGTATCAAAAGAAAGATCCACCTCTGTTAGCTGAGTTCACACATCACAAACAAGTTTATGAGAATGCTTTCTGTCTAGTTTTTATTTGAAGATATTTCCTTTCTCACCATAGAGCTGAAAGCTGTCCTAATGTTCACTTCCAGGTACTACAGAAAGAGTGTTTCAAAACTGCTGTACGAAAAGGAATGTTCAACTCTGTGACTTGAATGCACACATCACAAAGAAGTTTCTGAGGATGCTGCTGTCTACTTTTTATACGTAATCCCGTTTCCAACGAAATCCTCCAAGCTATCCAAATATCCACTTGCAGATTCCACAGAAAGACTGTTTCAAAACTGCTCTGTCAATAGAAAGGTTCAACTCTGTTAGCTGCGTGCATATATCCCAAAGAAGATTCTGAGATTGCTTCTGTCTAGTTTTTATGGGAAGATATTTCCCTTTTCACGGTAGGTGTCAAGGCGCTCCAAATGTCCACTTCCAGATACTACAAAAAGAGTGTTTCAAACCTACTCTGTGAAAGGGAATATTCAACTCTGTGACTTGAATGCACATATCACAAAGAAGTTTTTGAGAATGCTTCTGTCGAGATTTTGTATGAAGATATTCCCGTTTCCAACGAAATCCTGAATTCTATCCAAATTTCCCCTCGCAGATTCTACAAAAAGAGTGTTTCAAAACTGCTCTGTGAAAAGAAAGGTTCAACTCTGTTAGTTGAGTACACACATCACAAACAAGTTTCACAGAATGCTTCCTTCTAGCTTGTAGGGGAAGATATTCCCTTTATCACCATGGGCCTCAAACCGTCCGAAACGTCCACTTCCATATACTACAAAAAGAGCGTTTCAAACCTGTTCTAGGAAAGGCAATGTTCAACTCTGTGACTTGAATGCAGACATCACAGAGCAGTTTCTGAGAATGCTTCTGTCTAGTATTTTATAGGAAGATATTCCCGTTTCCAACGAAATCTTCACAGCTATCCAAATATCCACTTGCAGATTCTACAAAAAGAGTGTATCAAAACTGCTCTGTCAAAAGGAAGGTTCTTTTCTGTTAGGTGAGTGCATACGTCATAAAGGAGTTTCTGAGAATGCTTCTGTCTAGTGGTTATGGGAAGATATTTGCTTTTTCACCGTAGGCCTCAGAGCGCTCCAAATATCCACTTGCACATACTACAAAAAGAGTGCTTCAAAGCTGCTCTCTGAAACGGAATGTTCAACTCTATGAGTTGAATGCAAACATCACAAAGACGTTTCTGAGAATGCTTCTGTCTAGATTTGATATGAAGATATTCCCGTTTCCAACGAAATCTTCAAATCTATCCAAATGTCCACTTCCAGATTCAACAAAGTGTTCTTCAGAACTGCTCTATCAAAAGAAAGATCCACCTCTGTTAGCTGAGATCACACTTCACAAACAAGTTTATCAGAATGCTTCTGTCTAGTTTTTATTTGAAGATATTTCCTTTCTCACCATAGACCTGAAAGCTGTCCTAATGTTCACTTCCAGATACTACAGAAAGAGTGTTTCAAAACTGCTGTACGAAAGGGAATGTTCAACTCTGTGACTTGAATGCACACATCACAAAGAAGTTTCTGAGGATGCGGCTGTCTACTTTTTATACGTAATCCCGTTTCCAACGAAATCCTCCAAGCTATCCAAATATCCACTTGCAGATTCCACAGAAAGACTGTTTCAAAACTGCTCTGTCAATAGAAAGGTTCAACTCTGTTAGCTGCGTACATATATCCCAAAGAAGATTACTGAGATTGCTTCTGTCTAGTTTTTATGGGAAGATATTTCCCTTTTCACCGTAGGCGTCAAGGCGCTCCAAATGTCCACTTCCAGATACTACAAAAAGAGTCTTTCAAACCTACTCTGTGGAAGGGAATATTCAACTCTGTGACTTCAATGCAGATATCACAAAGAAGTTTCTGAGAATGCTTCCGTCGAGATTTTATATGAAGATATTCCCGTTTCCAACGAAATCCTGAAATCTATCCAAATATCCCCTCGCAGATTCCACAAAAAGAGTGTTTCAACACTGCTCTGTAAAAAGAAAGGTTCAACTCTGTTAGTTGAGTACACACATCACAAACAAGTTTCACAGAATGCTTCTTTCTAGCTTGTAGGGGAAGATATTCCCTTTATCACCATGGGCCTCAAACCGTCCGAAACGTCCACTTCCATATACTACAAAAAGAGCGTTTCAAACCTGCTCTATGAAAGGCAATGTTGAACTCTGTGACTTGAATGCAGACATCACAGAGCAGTTTCTGAGAATGCTTCTGTCTAGATTTTATAGGAAGATATTCCCGTTTGCAACGAAATCTTCACAGCTATCCAAATATCCACTTGCAGATTCTACAAAAAGAGTGTATCAAAACTGCTCTGTCAAAAGGAAGGTTCTTCTCTCTTAGTTGAGTACATACGTCATAAAGGAGTTTCTGAGAATGTTTCTGTCTAGCGGTTATGGGAAGATATTTGCTTTTTCACCGTAGGCCTCAGAGCGCTCCAAATATCCACTTGCAGATACTACAAAAAGAGTGCTTCAAAGCTGCTCTCTGAAACGGAATGTTCAACTCTATGAGTTGAATGCAAACATCACAAAGACGTTTCTGAGAATGCTTCTGTCTAGATTTGATATGAAGATATTCCCGTTTCCAACGAAATCTTCAAATCTATCCAAATGTCCACTTGCAGATTCAACAAAACGTGTTTTTCAGAACTGCTCTATCAAAAGAAAGATCCACGTCTCTAAGCTGAGTTCACACATCACAAACAAGTTTATGAGAATGCTTCTGTCTAGTTTTTATTTGAAGATATTTCCTTTCTCACCATAGACCTGAAAGCTGTCCTAATGTTCAGTTCCAGTTACTACAGAAAGAGTGTTTCAAAACTGCTGTACGAAAGGGAATGTTCAACTCTGTGACTTGAATGCACACATCACAAAGAAGTTTCTGAGGATGCTGCTGTCTACTTTTTATACTTAATCCCGTTTCCAACGAAATACTCCAAGCTATCCAAATATCCACTTGCAGATTCCACAGAAAGACTGTTTCAAAACTGCTCTGTCAATAGAAAGGTTCAACTCTGTTAGCTGCGTGCATATATCCCAAAGAAGATTCTGAGATTGCTTCTGTCTAGTTTTGATGGGAAGATATTTCCCTTTTCACCGTAGGCGTCAAGGCGCTCCAAATGTCCATTTCCAGATACTACAAAAAGAGTGTTTCAAACCTACTCTGTGAAAGGGAACATTCAACTCTGTGACTTGAATGCACATATCACAAGGAAGTTTCTGAGAATGCTTCTGTCGAGATTTTATATGAAGATATTTCCGTTTCCAACAAAATCCTGAAATCTCTCCAAATATCCCCTCGCAGATTCTACAAAAAGAGTGTTTCAAAACTGCTCTGTAAAAAGAAAGGTTCAACTCTGTTAGTTGAGTACACACATCACAAACAAGTTTCACAGAATGCTTCTTTCTAGCTTGTAGGGGAAGATATTCCCTTTATCACCATGGGCCTCAAACCGTCCGAAACGTCCACTTCCATATACTACAAAAAGAGCGCTTCAAACCTGCTCTATGAAAGACAATGTTCAACTACTGTGACTTGAATGCAGACATCACAGAGCAGTTTCTGAGAATGCTTCTGTCTAGATTTTATAGGAAGGTATTCCCGTTTCCAACGAATTCTTCACAGCTATCCAAATATCCACTTGCAGATTCTCCAATGGAGTGTATCAAAACTGCTCTCTCAAAAGGAAGGTTCTTCTGTTTTAGTTGAGTACATACGTGATAAAGAAGTTTCTGAGAATGTTTCTGTCTAGGGGTTATGGTAAGATATTTACTTTTTCCCCGTAGGCCTCAAAGCGCTCCAAATGTCCACTTGCACATACTTAAAAAGAGTGCTTCAAAGCTGCTCTCTGAAAGGGAATGTTCAACTCTATGAGTTGAATGCAAACATCACAAAGACGTTTCTGAGAATGCTTCTGTCTAGCTTTGATATGAAGATATTCCCGTTTGCAACGAAATCTTCAAATCTATCAAAATGTCCACTTGCAGATTCAACAAAACGTGTTTTTCAGAACTGCTCTATCAAAGGAAAGATACACCTCTGTTAGCTGAGTTCACACATCACAAACAAGTTTATGAGAATGCTTCTGTCTAGTTTTTATTTGAAGATATTTCCTTTCTCACCATAGACCTGAAAGCTGTCCTAATGTTCACTTCCAGATGCTACAGAAAGAGTGTTTCAAAACTGCTGTACGAAAGGGAATATTCAACTCTGTGACTTGAATGCACACATCACAAAGAAGTTTCTGAGGATGCTGCTGTCTACTTTTTATACTTAATCCCGTTTCCAACGAAATCCTCCAAGCTATCCAAATATCCACTTGCAGATTCCACAGAAAGACTGTTTCAAAACTGCTCTGTCAATAGAAAGGTTCAACTCTGTTAGCTGTGTGCATATATCCCAAAGAAGATTCTGAGATTGCTTCTGTCTAGTTTTTATGGGAAGATATTTCCCTTTTCACCGTAGGTGTCAAGGCGCTCCAAATGTCCACTTCCAGATACTACAAAAAGAGTGTTTCAAACCTACTCTGTGAAAGGGAATATTCAACTCTGTGACTTAAAGGCAGATGTCACAAAGAAGTTTCTGAGAATGCTTCCGTCGAGATTTTATATGAAGATATTCCCGTTTCCAACGAAATCCTGAAATCTATCCAAATATCCCCTCGCAGATTCCACAAAAAGAGTGTTTCAACACTGATCTGTAAAAAGAAAGGTTCAACTCTGTTAGTTGAGTACACACATCACAAACAAGTTTCACAGAATGCTTCTTTCTAGCTTGTAGGGGAAGATATTTCCTTTATCACCATGGTCCTCAAACCGTCCGAAACGTCCACTTCCATATACTAAAAAAAGAGTGTTTCAAACCTGCTCTATGAAAGGCAATGTTCAACTCTGTGACTTGAATGCAGACATCACAGAGCAGTTTCTGAGAATGCTTCTGTCCAGACTTTATAGGAAGATATTCCCGTTTCCAACGAAATCTTCACAGCTATCCAAATATCCACTTGCAGATAGTACAAAAAGAGTGTATCAAAAATGCTCGGTCAAAAGGAAAGTTCTTCTCTGCTACTTGAGTACATACGTCATAAAGAAGTTTCTGAGAATGTTTCTGTCTAGTGGTTATGGGAAGATATTTGCTTTTTCACCGTAGGCCTCAGAGCGCTCCAAATATCCACTTGCACATACTACAAAAAGAGTGCTTCAAAGCTGGTCTCTGAAAGGGAATGTTCAACTCTATGAGTTGAATGCAAACATCGCAAAGACGTTTCTGAGAATGCTTCTGTCTAGATTTGATATGAAGATATTCCCGTTTCCAACGAAATCTTCAAATCTATCCAAATGTCCACTTGCAGATTCAACAAAGCGTTTTTCAGAACTGCTCTATCAAAAGAAAGATCCACCTCTGTTAGCTGAGATCACACTTCACAAACAAGTTTATCAGAATGCTTCTGTCTAGTTTTTATTTGAAGATATATCCTTTCTCACTATAGACCTGAAAGCTCTCCTAAAGTTCACTTCCAGATACTACAGAAAGAGTGTTTCAAAACTGCTGTTCGAAAGGGAATGTTCAACTTCTGTGACTTGAATGCACACATCACAAGGATGTTTCTGAGGATGCTGCTGTCTACTTTTTATACGTAATCCCGTTTCCAAAGAAATCCTCCAAGCTATCCAAATATCCACTTGCAGATTCCACAGAAAGACTGTTTCAAAACTGCTCTGTCAATAGAAAGGTTCAACTCTGTTAGCTGCGTGCATATATCCCAAAGAAGATTCTGATATTGCTTCTGTCTAGTTTTCATGGGAAGATATTTCCCTTTTCACCATAGGCGTCAAGGCGCTCCAAATGTCCACTTCCAGATACTACAAAAAGAGTGTTTCAAACCTACTCTGTGAAAGGGAATATTCAACTCTGTGACTTGAATGCACATATCACAAAGAAGTTTCTGAGAATGCTTCTGTCGAGATTTTATATGAAGATATTCCCGTTTCCAACGAAATCCTGAAATCTATCCAAATATCCCCTCGCAGATTCTACAGAAAGAGTGTTTCAAAACTGCTCTGTAAAAAGAAAGGTTCAACTCTGTTAGTTGAGTACACATATCACAAACAAGTTTCACAGAATGCTTCTTTCTAGCTTGTAGGGGAAGATATTCCCTTTATCACCATGGGCCTCAAACCTTCCGAAACGTCAACTTCCATATACTACAAAAAGAGCGTTTCAAACCTGCTCTAGGAAAGGCAATGTTCAACTCTGTGACTTGAATGCAGACATCACAGAGCAGTTTCTGAGAATGCTTCTGTCTAGATTTTATAGGAAGATATTCCCGTTTCCAACGAAATCTTCACAGCTATCCAAATATCCACTTGCAGATTCTACAAAAAGAGTGTATCAAAACTGCTCTGTCAAAAGGAAGGTTCTTTTCTGTTAGGTGAGTGCATACGTCATAAAGGAGTTTCTGAGAATGTTTCTGTCTAGTGGTTATGGGAAGATATTTGATTTTTCACCGTAGGCCTCAGAGCGCTCCAAATATCCACTTGCACATACTACAAAAAGAGTGCTTCAAAGCTGCTCTCTGAAAGGGAATGTTGAACTCTATGAGTTGAATGCAAACATCACAAAGACGTTTCTGAGAATTCTTCTGTCTAGATTTGATATGAAGATATTCCCGTTTCCAAGGAAATCTTCAAATCTATCCAAATGTCCACTTGCAGATTCAACAAAAAGTGTTTTTCAGAACTGCTCTATCAAAAGAAAGATCCACCTCTGTTAGCTGAGTTCACACATCACAAACAAGTTTATGAGAATGCTTCTGTCTAGTTTTTATTTGAAAATATTTCCTTTCTCACCATAGAGCTGAAAGCTGTCCTAATGTTCACTTCCAGATACTACAGAAAGAGTGTTTCAAAACTGCTGTACGAAAGGGAATGTTCAACTCTGTGACTTGAATGCACACATCACAAAGAAGTTTCTGAGGATGCTGCTGTCTACTTTTTATACGTAATCCCGTTTCCAACGAAATCCTCCAAGCTATCCAAATATCCACTTGCAGATTCCACAGAAAGACTGTTTCAAAGCTGCTCTGTCAATAGAAAGGTTCAACTCTGTTAGCTGCGTGCATATATCCCAAAGAAGATTCTGAGATTGCTTCTGTCTAGTTTTTATGGGAAGATATTTCCCTTTTCACCGTAGGCGTCAAGGCGCTCCAAATGTCCACTTCCAGATACTACAAAAAGAGTGTTTCAAACGTACTCTGTGAAAGGGAATATTCAACTCTGTGACTTGAATGCACATATCACAAAGAAGTTTCTGAGAATGCTTCTGTCGAGATTTTATATGAAGATATTCCCGTTTCCAACGAAATCCTGAAATCTATCCAAATATCCCCTCGCAGATTCTACAAAAAGAGTGTTTCAAAACTGCTCTGTAAAAAGAAAGGTTCAACTCTGTTACTTGAGTACACACTTCACAAACAAGTTTCACAGAATGCTTCTTTCTAGCTTGTAGGGGAAGATATTTCCTTTATCACCATGGGCCTCAAACCGTCCGAAACGTCCACTTCCATATACTAAAAAAAGAGTGTTTCAAACCTGCTCTATGAAAGGCAATGTTCAACTCTGTGACTTGAATGCAGACATCACAGAGCAGTTTCTGAGAATGCTTCTGTCTAGATTTTATAGGAAGATATTCCCGTTTCCAACGAAATCTTCACAGCTATCCAAATATCCACTTGCAGATTCTACAAAAAGAGTTTATCAAAACTGCTCTGTCAAAAGGAAGGTTCTTCTCTGTTACTTGAGTACATACGTCATAAAGGAATTTCTGAGAATGTTTCTGTCTAGTGGTTATGGGAAGATATTTGCTTTTTCACCGTAGGCTTCACAGCGCTCCAAATATCCACTTGCACATACTACAAAAAGAGTGCTTCAAAGCTGCTCTCTGAAACGGAATGTTCAACTCTATGAGTTGAATGCAAACATCACAAAGACGTTTCTGAGAATGCTTCTGTCTAGATTTGATATGAAGATATTCCCGTTTCCAACGAAATCTTCAAATCTATCCAAATGTCCACTTGCAGATTCAACAAAAAGGGTTTTTCAAAACTGCTCTATCAAAAGAAAGATCCACGTCTGTTAGCTGAGTTCACACATCACAAACAAGTTTATGAGAATGCTTCTGTCTAGTTTTTATTTGAAGATATTTCCTTTTTCACCACAGAGCTGAAAGCTGTCCTAATGTTCACTTCCAGATACTACAGAAAGAGTGTTTCAAAACTGCTGTACGAAAGGGAATGTTCAACTCTGTGACTTGAATGCACACATCACAAAGAAGTTTCTGAGGATGCTGCTGTCTACTTTTTATACGTAATCCCGTTTCCAACGAAATCCTCCAAGCTATCCAAATATCCACTTGCAGATTCCACAGAAAGACTGTTTCAAAACTGCTCTGTCAATAGAAATGTTCAACTCTGTTAGCTGCGTGCATATATCCCAAAGAAGATTCTGAGATTGCTTCTGTCTAGCTTTTATGGGAAGATATTTCCCTTTTCACCGTAGGTGTCAAGGCGCTCCAAATGTCCACTTCCAGATACTACAAAAAGAGTGTTTCAAACCTACTCTGTGAAAGGGAATATTCAACTCTGTGACTTGAATGCAGATATCACAATGAAGTTTCTGAGAATGCTTCTGCCGAGATTTTCAAAGAAGATATTCCCGTTTCCAAGGAAATCCTGATATCTATCCAAATATCCCCACGCAGATTCTACAAAAAGAGTGTTTCAAAACTGCTCTGTAAAAAGAAAGGTTCAACTCTGTTAGTTGAGTACACACATCACAAACAAGTTTCACAGAATGCTTCTTTCTAGCTGGTAGGGGAAGATATTCCCTTTATCACCATGGGCCTCAAACCGTCCGAAACGTCCACTTCCATATACTACAAAAAAGAGCGTTTCAAACCTGCTCTATGAAAGGCAATGTTCAACTCTGTGACTTGAATGCACACATCACAGAGCAGTTTCTGAGAATGCTTCTGTCTAGATTTTATAGGAAGATATTCCCGTTTCCAACGAAATCTTCACAGCTATCCAAATATCCACTTGCAGATTCTACAAAAAGAGTGTATCAAAACTGCTCTGTCAAAAGGAAGGTTCTTCTTCTGTTAGTTGAGTACATACGTCATAAAGGAGTTTCTGAGAATGTTTCTGTCTAGTGGTTAAGGGAAGATATTTGCTTTTTCACCGTAGGCCTCAGAGCGCTCCAAATATCCACTTGCACATACTACAAAAAGAGTGCTTCAAAGCTGCTCTCTGAAACGGAATGTTCAACTCTATGAGTTGAATGCAAACATCACAAAGACGTTTCTGAGACTGCTTCTGTCTAGATTTGATATGAAGATATTCCCGTTTACAACGAAATCTTCAAATCTATCCAAATGTCCACTTGCAGATTCAACAAAGTGTTTTTCAGAACTGCTCTATCAAAAGAAAGATCCACCTCTGTTAGCTGAGATCACACTTCACAAACAAGTTTATCAGAATGCTTCTGTCTAGTTTTTATTTGAAGATATAACCTTTCTCACTATAGACCTGAAAGCTGTCCTAAAGTTCACTTCCAGATACTACAGAAAGAGTGTTTCAAAACTGCTGTACGAAAGGGAATGTTCAACTCTGTGACTTGAATGCACACATCACAAGGATGTTTCTGAGGATGCTGCTGTCTAATTTTTATACGTAATCCCGTTTCCAACGAAATCCTCCAAGCTATCCAAATATCCACTTGCAGATTCCACAGAAAGACTGTTTCAAAACTGCTCTGTCAATAGAAAGGTTCAACTTTGTGAGCTGCGTGCATATATCCCAAAGAAGATTCTGAGATTGCTTCTGTCTAGTTTTTATGGGAAGATATTTCCCTTTTCACCGTAGGTGTCAAGGCGCTCCAAATGTCCACTTCCAGATACTACAAAAAGAGTGTTTCAAACCTACTCTGTGAAAGGGAATATTCAACTCTGTGACTTGAATGCACATATCACAAAGAAGTTTCTGAGAATGCTTCTGTCGAGATTTTATATGAAGATATTCCCGTTTCCAACGAAATCCTGAAATCTATCCAAATATCCCCTCGCAGATTCTACAAAAAGAATGTTTCAAAACTGCTCTGTAAAAAGAAAGGTTCAACTCTGTTAGTTGAGTACACACATCACAAACAAGTTTCACAGAATGCTTCTTTCTAGCTTGTAGGGGAAGATATTCCCTTTATCACCATGGGCCTCCAACCGTCCGATAAGTCCACTTCCATATACTACAAAAAGAGCGTTTCAAACCTGCTCTATGAAAGGCAATGTTCAACTCTGTGACTTGAATGCAGACATCACAGAGCAGTTTCTGAGAATGCTTTTGTCTAGGTTTTATAGGAAGATATTCCCTTTTCCAACGAAATCTTCCAAGCTATCCAAATATCCACTTGCAGATTCTACAAAAAGAGTGTATCAAAACTGCTCTGTCAAAAGGAAGGTTCTCCTCTGTTAGTTGAGTACATACGTCATAAAGGAGTTTCTGAGAATGTTTCTGTCTAGTGGTTATGGGAAGATATTTGCTTTTTCACCCGTAGGTCTCAGAGCGCTCCAAATATCCACTTGCACATACTACAAAAAGAGTGCTTCAAAGCTGCTCTCTGAAACGGAATGTTCAACTCTATGACTTGAATGCAAACATCACAAAGACGTTTCTGAGAATGCTTCTGTCTAGATTTGATATGAAGATATTCCCGTTTCCAACGAAATCTTCAAATCTATCCAAATGTCCACTTGCAGATTCAACAAAAAGTGTTTTTCAGAACTGCTCTATCAAAAGAAAGATTCACCTCTGTTAGCTGAGTTCACACATCACAAACAAGTTTATGAGAATGCTTCTGTCTAGTTTTTATTTGAAGATATTTCCTTTCTCACCATAGAGCTGAAAGCTGTCCTAATGTTCACTTCCAGATACGACAGAAAGAGTGTTTCAAAACTGCTGTACGAAAGGGAATGTTCAAATCTGTGACTTGAATGCACACATCACAAAGAAGTTTCTGAGGATGCTGCTGTCTACTTTTTATACGTAATCCCGTTTCCAACGAAATCCTCCAAGCTATCCAAATATCCACTTGCAGATTCCACAGAAAGACTGTTTCAAAACTGCTCTGTCAATAGAAAGGTTCAACTCTGTTAGCTGCGTGCATATATCCCAAAGAAGATTCTGAGATTCCTTCTGTCTAGTTTTTATGGGAAGATATTTTCCTTTTCACCGTAGGCGTCACGGCGCTCCAAATGTCCACTTCCAGATACTACAAAAAGAGTGTTTCAAACCTACTCTGTGAAAGGGAATATTCAACTCTGTGACTTGAATGCAGATATCACAAAGAAGTTTCTGAGAATGCTTCTGTCGAGATTTTATATTAAGATATTCCCGTTTCCAACGAAATCCTGAAATCTATCCAAATATCCCCTCGCAGATTCTACAAAAAGAGTGTTTCAAAACTGCTCTGTAAAAAGAAAGGTTCAACTCTGTTAGTTGAGTACACACATCACAAACAAGTTTCACAGAATGCTTCTTTCTAGCTTGTAGGGGAAGATATTCCCTTTATCACCATGGGCCTCAAACCGTCCGAAACGTCCACTTCCATATACTACAAAAAGAGCGTTTCAAATTTGCTCTAGGAAAGGCAATGTTCAACTCTGTGACTTGAATGCAGACATCACAGAGCAGTTCCTGAGAATGTTATTGTCTAGATTTTATAGGAAGATATTCCCGTTTCCAACGAAATCTTCACAGCTATCCAAATATCCACTTGCAGATTCTACAAAAAGAGTGTATCAAAACTGCTCTGTCAAAAGGAAGGTTCTTCTCTGTTAGGTGAGTGCATACGTCATAAAGGAGTTTCTGAGAATGTTTCTGTCTAGTGGTTATGGGAAGATATTTGCTTTTTCACCGTAGGCCTCAGAGCGCTCCAAATATCCACTTGCACATACTACAAAAAGAGTGCTTCAAAGCTGCTCTCTGAAACGGAATGTTCAACTCTCTGAGTTGAATGCAAACATCACAAAGACGTTTCCGAGAATGCTTCTGTCTAGATTTGATATGAAGATATTCCCGTTTCCAACGACATCTTCAAATCTATCCAAATGTCCCCTTGCAGATTCAACAAAACGTGTTTTTCAGAACTGCTCTATCAAAAGAAAGATCCACCTCTGTTAGCTGAGTTCACACATCACAAACAAGTTTATGAGAATGCTTCTGTCTAGTTTTTATTTGAAGATATCTCCTTTCTCACCATAGACCTGAAAGCTGTCCTAATGTACACTTCCAGATACTACAGAAAGAGTGTTTCAAAACTGCTGTACGAAAGGGAATGTTCAACTCTGTGACTTGAATGCACACATCACAAAGAAGTTTCTGAGGATGCTGTGGTCTACTTTATATACGTAATCCCGTTTCCAACGAAATCCTCCAAGCTATCCAAATATCCACTTGCAGATT
This sequence comes from Homo sapiens, assembly GCF_000001405.40. Classification (NCBI taxonomy): domain Eukaryota; kingdom Metazoa; phylum Chordata; class Mammalia; order Primates; family Hominidae; genus Homo; species Homo sapiens. The sequence goes on along the minus strand of NC_000022.11, from coordinate 14,390,398 downwards.
CCACAGAAAGACTGTTTCAAAACTGCTCTGTCAATAGAAAGGTTCAACTCTGTTAGCTGCGTGCATATATCCCAAAGAAGATTGCTGAGATTGCTTCTGTCTAGTTTTTATGGGAAGATATTTCCCTTTTCACCGTGGGCGTCAAGGCGCTCCAAATGTGCACTTCCAGATACTACAAAAAGAGTGTTTCAAACCTACTCTGTGAAAGGGAATATTCAACTCTGTGACTTGAATGCACATATCACAAGGAAGTTTCTGAGAATGCTTCTGTCGAGATTTTATATGAAGATATTCCCGTTTCCAACGAAATGCTGAAATGTATCCAAATATCCCCTCGCAGATTCTACAAAAAGAGTGTTTCAAAACTGCTCTGTAAAAAGAAAGGTTCAACTCTGTTAGTTGAGTACACACATCACAAACAAGTTTCACAGAATGCTTCTTTCTAGCTTGTAGGGGAAGATATTCCCTTTATCACCATGGGCCTCCAACCGTCCGAAACATCCACTTACATATACTACAAAAAGAGCGTTTCAAACCTGCTCTATGAAAGGCAATGTTCAACTCTGTGACTTGAATGCAGACATCACAGAGCAGTTTCTGAGAATGCTTCTGTCTGGCATTTTATAGGAAGATATTCCCGTTTCCAACGAAATCTTCACAGCTATCCAAATATCCACTTGCAGATTCTACAAAAAGAGTGTATCAAAACTGCTCTGTCAAAAGGAAGGTTCTTCTCTGTTAGTTGAGTACATACGTCATAAAGGAGTTTCTGAGAATGTTTCTGTCTAGTGGTTATGGGAAGATATTTGCTTTTTCACCTTAGGCCTCAAAGCGCTCAAAATATCCCCTTGCACATACTACAAAAAGAGTGCTTCAAAGCTGCTCTCTGAAACGGAATGTTCAACTCTATGGGTTGAATGCAAACATCACAAAGACCTTTCTGAGAATGCTTCTGTCTAGATTTGATATGAAGATATTCCCGTTTCGAACGAAATCTTCAAATCTATCCAAATGTCCACTTGCAGATTCAACAAAAAGTGTTTTTCAGAACTGCTCTATCAAAAGAAAGATCCACCTCTGTTTGCTGAGTTCACACATCACAAACAAGTTTATGAGAATGCTTCTGTCTAGTTTTTATTTGAAGATATTTCCTTTCTCATCATAGACCTGAAAGCTGTCCTATTGTTCACTTCAGATACTACAGAAAGAGTGTTTCAAAACTGCTGTACGAAAGGGAATGTTCAACTCTGTGACTTGAATGCACACATCACAAAGAAGTTTCTGAGGATGCTGCTGTCTACTTTTTATACGTAATCCCGTTTCCAACGAAATCCTCCAAGCTATCCAAATATCCACTTGCAGATTCCACAGAAAGACTGTTTCAAAACTGCTGTGTCAATAGAAAGGTTCAACTCTGTTAGCTGCGTGCATATATCCCAAAGAAGATTCTGAGATTGCTTCTGTCTAGTTTTTATGGGAAGATATTTCCCTTTTCACCGTAGGCGTCAAGGCGCTCCAAATGTCCACTTCCAGATACTACAAAAAGAGTGTTTCAAACCTACTCTGTGAAAGGGAATATTCAAGTCTGTGACTTGAATGCACATATCACAAGGAAGTTTCTGAGAATGTTTCTGTCGAGATTTTATATGAAGATATTCCCGTTTCCAACGAAATTCTGAAATGTATCCAAATATCCCCTCGCAGATTCTACAAAAAGAGTGTTTCAAAACTGCTCTGTAAAAAGAAAGGTTCAACTCTGTTAGTTGAGTACACACATCACAAACAAGTTTCACAGAATGCTTCTTTCTAGCTTGTAGGGGAAGATATTCCCTTTATCACCATGGGCCTCAAAGCGTCCGAAACGTCCACTTCCATATACTACAAAAAGAGCGTTTCAAACCTGCTCTAGGAAAGGCAATGTTCAACTCTGTGACTTGAATGCAGACATCACAGAGCAGTTTCTGAGAATGCTTCTGTCTAGATTTTATAGGAAGATATTCCCGTTTCCAACGAAATCTTCACAGCTATCCAAATATGCACTTGCAGATTCTACAAAAAGAGTGTATCAAAACTGCTCTGTCAAAAGGAAGGTTCTTCTCTGTTAGTTGAGTACATACGTCATAAAGCAGTTTCTGAGAATGTTTCTGTCTAGTGGTTATGGGAAGATATTTGCTTTTTCCCCGTAGGCCTCAGAGCGCTCCAAATATCCACTTGCACATACTACAAAAAGAGTGCTTCAAAGCTGCTCTCTGAAACGGAATGTTCAACTCTATGAGTTGAATGCAAACATCACAAAGACGTTTCTGAGAATGCTTCTGTCTAGATTTGATATGAAGATATTCCCGTTTCCAAGGAAATCTTCAAATCTATCCAAATGTCCACTTGCAGATTCTACAAAAATTGTTTTTCAGAACTGCTCTATCAAAAGAAAGATCCACGTGTGTTAGCTGAGTTCACACATCACAAACAAGTTTATGAGAATGCTTCTGTCTCGTTTTTATTTGAAGATATTTCCTTTCTCACCATAGACCTGAAAGCTGTCATAATGTTCACTTCCAGATACTACAGAAAGAGTGTTTCAAAACTGCTGTACGAAAAGGAATGTTCAACTCTGTGACTTGAATGCACACATCACAAAGAAGTTTCTGAGGATGCTGCTGTCTACTTTGTATACATAATCCCGTTTCCAAAGAAATCCTCCAAGCTATCAAAATATCCACTTGCAGATTCCACTAAAAGACTGTTTCAAAACTGCTCTGTCAATAGAAAGTTTCAACTCTGTTAGCTGGGTGCATACATCCCAAAGAAGATTCTGAGATTGCTTCTGTCTAGTATTTATGGGAAGATATTTCATATTTCCTTTTTCACCGTAGGCGTCAAGGCGCTCCAAATGTCCACTTCCAAATACTACAAAAAGAGTGTTTCAAACCTACTCTGTGAAAGGGAATATTCAACTCTGTGACTTGAGTGCAGGTATCACAAAGAGGTTTCTCAGAATGCTTCTGTCGAGATTTTATATGAAGATATTCCCCTTTCCAACGAAATCCTGAAATCTATCCAAATATCCCCTCGCAGATTCTACAAAAAGAGTGTTTCAAAACTGCTCTGTAAAAAGAAAAGTTCAACTCTGTTAGTTGAGTACACACCTCACAATACAAGTTTCACAGAATGCTTCTTTCTAGCTTGCAGGGGAAGATATTCCCTTTATCACCATGGGCCTCAAACCGTCCGAAAAGTCCACTTCCATATACTACAAAAAGAGCGTTTCAAACCTGCTCTATGAAAGGCAATGTTCAACTCTGTGACTTGAATGCAGACATCACAGAGCAGTTTCTGAGAATGCTTCTGTCTAGATTTTATAGGAAGATATTCCCGTTTCCAACGAAATCTTCACAGCTATCCAAATATCCACTTGCAGATGCTACAAAAAGAGTGTATCAAAACTGCTCTGTCAAAAGCAAGGTTCTTCTCTGTTAGGTGAGTGCATACGTCATAAAGGAGTTTCTGAGAATGTTTCTGTCTAGTGGTTATGGGAAGATATTTGCTTTTTCCCCGTAGGCCTCAGGGCGCTCCAAATGTCCACTTGCACATGCTACAAAAAGAGTGCTTCAAAGCTGCTCTCTGAAAGGGAATGTTCAACTCTATGAGTTGAATGCAAACATCACAAAGACGTTTCTGAGAATGCTTCTGTCTAGATTTGATATGAAGATATTCCCGTTTCCAACGAAATCTTCAAATCTATCCAAATCTCCACTTGCAGATTCAACAAAAAGTGTTTTTCAGAACTGCTCTATCAAAAGAAAGATCCACCTCTGTTAGCTGAGTTCACACATCACAAACAAGTTTATGAGAATGCTTCTGTCTAGTTTTTATTTGAAGATATTGCCTTTCTCACCATAGACCTGAAAGCTGTACTAATGTTCACTTCCAGATACTACAGAAAGAGTGTTTCAAAACTGCTGTACGAAAGGGAATGTTCAACTCTGTGACTTGAATGCACACATCACAAAGAAGTTTCTGAGGAGGCTGCTGTCTACTTTTTATACGTAATCCCGTTTCCAACGAAATCCTCCAAGCTATCCAAATATCCACTTGCAGATTCCACAGAAAGACTGTTTCAAAACTGCTCTGTTAATAGAAAGGTTCAACTCTGTTAGCTGCGTGCATATATCCCAAAGAAGATTCTGAGATTGCTTCTGTCTAGTTTTTATGGGAAGATATTTCCCTTTTCACCGTAGGCGTCAAGGCGCTCCAAATGTCCACTTCCAGATACTACAAAAAGAGTGTTTCAAACCTACTCTGTGAAAGGGAATATTCAACTCTGTGACTTGAATGCACATGTCACAAAGAAGTTTCTGAGAATGCTTCTGTCGAGATTTTATAGGAAGATATTCCCGTTTCCAACGAAATCCTGAAATCTATCAAAATATCCCCTCGCAGATTCTACAAAAAGAGTGTTTCAAAACTGCTCTGTAAAAAGAAAGGTTCAACTCTGTTAGTTGAGTACACACATCACAAACAAGTTTCACAGAATGCTTCTTTCTAGCTTGTAGGGGAAGATATTCCCTTTATCACCATGGGCCTCAAACCGTCCGAATCGTCCACTTCCATATACTACAAAAAGAGCGTTTCAAACCTGCTCTAGGAAAGGCAATGTTCAACTCTGTGACTTGAATGCAGACATCACAGAGCAGTTTCTGAGAATGCTTCTGTCTAGATTTTATAGGAAGATATTCCCGTTTCCAACGAAATCTTCACAGCTACCCAAATATCCACTTGCAGATTCTACAAAAAGAGTGTATCAAAACTGCTCTGTCAAAAGGAAGGTTCTTTTCTGTTAGTTGAGTGCATACGTCATAAAGGAGTTTCTGAGAATGTTTCTGTCTAGTGGTTATGGGAAGATATTTGCATTTTCACCGTAGGCCTCAGAGCGCTCCAAATATCCACTTGCACATACTACAAAAAGAGTGCCTCAAAGCTGCTCTCTGAAAGGGAATGTTCAACTCTATGAGTTGAATGCAAACATCACAAAGACGTTTCTGAGAATGCTTCTGTCTAGATTTGATATGAAGATGTTCCCGTTTCCAACGAAATCTTCAAATCTATCCAAATGTCCACTTGCAGATTCAACAAAAAGTGTTTTTCAGAACTGCTCTATCAAAAGAAAGATCCACCTCTGTTAGCTGAGTTCACACATCACAAACAAGTTTATGAGAATGCTTCTGTCTAGTTTTTATTTGAAGATATTTCGTTTCTCACCATAGAGCTGAAAGCTGTCCTAATGTTCACTTCCAGATACTACAGAGTGTTTCAAAACTGCTGTACGAAAGGGAATGTTCAACTCTGTGAATTGAATGCACACATCACAAGGAAGTTTCTGAGGATGCTGCTGTGTACTTTTTATACGTAATCCCGTTTCCAACGAAATCCTCCAATCTATCCAAATATCCACTTGCAGATTCCACAGAAAGACTGTTTCAAATCTGCTCAGTCAATAGAAAGGTTCAACTCTGTTAGCTGCGTGCATATATCACAAAGAAGATTGCTGAGATTGCTTCTGTCTAGTTTTGATGGGAAGATATTTCCCTTTTCACCGTAGGCGTCAAGGCGCTCCAAATGTCCACTTCCAGATACTACAAAAAGAGTGTTTCAAACCTACTCTGTGAAAGGGAATATTCAACTCTGTGACTTGAATGCACATATCACAAAGAAGTTTCTGAGAATGCTTCTGTCGAGATTTTATATGAAGATATTCCCGTTTCCAACGAAATTCTGAAATCTATCCAAATATCCCCTCGCAGATTCTACAAAAAGAGTGTTTCAAAACTGCTCTGTAAAAAGAAAAGTTCAACTCTGTTAGTTGAGTACACACATCACAAACAAGTTTCACAGAATGCTTCTTTCTAGCTTGTAGGGGAAGATATTCCCTTTATCACCATGGGCCTCAAACTGTCTGAAACGTCCACTTCCATATACTACAAAAAGAGCATTTCAAACCTGCTCTATGAAAGGCAATGTTCAACTCTGTGACTTGAATGCAGACATCACAGAGCAGTTTCTGAGAATGCTTCTGTCTAGATTTTATAGGAAGATATTCCCGTTTCCAACGAAATCTTCACAGCTATACAAATATCCACTTGCAGATTCTACAAAAAGAGTGTATCAAAACTGCTCTGTCAAAAGGAAGGTTCTTCTCTGTTAGTTGAGTACATACGTCATAAAGGAGTTTCTGAGAATGTTTCTGTCTAGTGGTTATGGGAAGATATTTGCTTTTTCACCGTAGGCCTCAGAGCGCTCCAAATATCCACTTGCACATACTACAAAAAGAGTGCTTCAAAGCTGCTCTCTGAAAGGGAATGTTCCACTCTATGAGTTGAATGCAAACATCACAAAGACGTTTCTGAGAATGCTTCTGTCTAGATTTGATATTGAAGATATTCCCGTTTCCAACGAAATCTTCAAATCTATCCAAATGTCCACTTGCAGATTCAACAAAAAGTGTTTTTCAGAACTGCTCTATCAAAAGAAAGATCCACCTCTGTTAGCTGAGTTCACACATCACAAACAAGTTTATGAGAATGCTTCTGTCTAGTTTTTATTTGAAGATATTTCCTTTCTCACCATAGAGCTGAAAGCTGTCCTAATGTTCACTTCCAGATACTACAGAAAGAGTGTTTCAAAACTGCTGTACGAAAGGGAATGTTCAACTCTGTGACTTGAATGCACACATCACAAAGAAGTTTCTGAGGATGTTGCTGTCTACTTTTTATACGTAATCCCGTTTCCAACGAAATCCTCCAAGGTATCCAAATATCCACTTGCAGATTCCACAGAAAGACTGTTTCAAAACTGCTCTGTCAATGGAAAGGTTCAACTCTGTTAGCTGCGTGCATATATCCCAAAGAAGATTCTGAGATTGCTTCTGTCTAGTTTTTATGGGAAGATATTTCCCTTTTCACCGTAGGCGTCAAGGCGCTCCAAATGTCCACTTCCAGATACTACAAAAGGAGTGTTTCAAACCTACTCTGTGAAAGTGAATATTCAACTCTGTGACTTGAATGCACATATCACAAAGAAGTTTCTGAGAATGCTTCTGTCGAGATTTTCTATAAAGATATTCCCGTTTCCAACGAAATCCTGAAATCTATCCAAATATCCCCTCGCAGATTCTACAAAAAGAGTGTTTCAAAACTGCTCTGTAAAAAGAAAGGTTCAACTCTGTTACTTCAGTACACACATCACAAACAAGTTTCACAGAATGCTTCTTTCTAGCTTGTAGGGGAAGATATTCCCTTTATCACCATGGGCCTCAAACCGTCCGAAACGTCCACTTCCATATACTACAAAAAGAGCGTTTCAAACCTGCTCTAGGAAAGGCAATGTTCAACTGCTGTGACTTGAATGCAGACATCACAGAGCAGTTTCTGAGAATGCTTCTGTCTAGATTTTGTAGGAAGATATTCCCGTTTCCAACGAAATCTTCACAGCTATCCAAATATCCACTTGCAGATTCCACAAAAAGAGTGTATCAAAACTGCTCTGTCAAAAGGAAGGTTCTTTTCTGTTAGGTGAGTGCATACGTCATAAAGGAGTTTCTGAGAATGTTTCTGTCTAGTGGTTATGGGAAGATATTTGATTTTTCACCTTAGGCCTCAGAGCGCTCCAAATATCCCCTTGCACATACTACAAAAAGAGTGCTTCAAAGCTGCTCTCTGAAAGGGAATGTTCAACTCTATGGGTTGAATGCAAACATCACAAAGACATTTCTGAGAATGCTTCTGTCTAGATTTGAAATGAAGTTATTCCCGTTTCCAACGAAATCTTCAAATCTATCCAAATGTCCACTTGCAGATTCAACAAAAAGTGTTTTTCAGAACTGCTCTATCAAAAGAAAGATCCACGTCTCTTAGCTGAGTTCACACATCACAAAGAAGTTTATGAGAATGCTTCTGTCTAGTTTTTATTTGAAGATATTTCCTTTCTCACCATAGACCTGAAAGCTGTCCTAATGTTCACTTCCAGATACTACAGAAAGAGTGTTTCAACACTGCTGTACGAAAGGGAATGTTCAACTCTGTGACTTGAATGCACACATCACAAAGAAGATTCTGAGGATGCTGCTGTCTACTTTTTATACTTAATCCCGTTTCCAACGAAATCCTCCAAGCTATCCAAATATCCACTTGCAGATTCCACAGAAAGACTGTTTCAAAACTGCTCTGTCAATAGAAAGGTTCAACTCTGTTAGCTGCGTGCATATATCCCAAAGAAGATTCTGAGATTACTTCTGTCTAGTTTTTATGGGAAGATATTTCCCTTTTCACCGTAGGCGTCAAGGCGCTCCAAATGTCCACTTCCAGATACTACAAAAAGAGTGTTTCAAACCTACTCTGTGAAAGGGAATATTCAACTCTGTGACTTGAATGCACATATTACAAAGAAGTTTCTGAGAATGCTTCTGTCGAGATTTTATATGAAGATATTCCCGTTTCCAACGAAATCCTGAAATCTATCCAAATATCCCCTCGCAGATTCTACAAAAAGAGTGTTTCAAAACTGCTCTGTAAAAAGAAAGGTTCAACTCTCTTAGTTGAGTACACACATCACAAACAAGTTTCACACAATGCTTCTTTCTAGCTTGTAGGGGAAGATATTCCCTTTATCACCATGGGCCTCAAACCGTCCGAAAAGTCCACTTCCATATACTACAAAAAGAGCGTTTCAAACCTGCTCTATGAAAGGCAATGTTCAACTCTGTGACTTGAATGCAGACATCACAGAGCAGTTTCTGAGAATGCTTCTGTCTAGATTTTATAGGAAGATATTCCAGTTTCCAACGAAATCTTCACAGCTATCCAAATATCCACTTGCAGATTCTACAAAAAGAGTGTATCAAAACTGCTCTGTCAAAAGGAAGGTTCTTCTCTGTTAGGTGAGTGCATACGTCATAAAGGAGTTTCTGAGAATGTTTCTGTCTAGTGGTTATGGGAAGATATTTGCTTTTTCCCCGTATGCCTCAGGGCCCTCCAAATGTCCACTTGCACATGCTACAAAAAGAGTGCTTCAAAGCTGCTCTCTGAAAGGGAATGTTCAACTCTATGAGTTGAATGCAAACATCACAAAGACGTTTCTGAGAATGCTTCTGTCTAGATTTGATATGAAGATATTCCCGTTTCCAACGAAATCTTCAAATCTATCCAAATGTCCACTTGCAGATTCAACAAAAAATGTTTTTCAGAACTGCTCTATCAAAAGAAAGATCCACCTCTGTTAGCTGAGTTCACACATCACAAACAAGTTAATGAGAATGCTTCTGTCTAGTTTTTATTTGAAGATATATCCTTTCTCACTATAGACCTGAAAGCTCTCCTAAAGTTCACTTCCAGATACTACAGAAAGAGTGTTTCAAAACTGCTGTACGAACGGGAATGTTCAACTCTGTGACTGGAATGCACACATCACAAGGATGTTTCTGAGGATGCTGCTGTCTACTTTTTATACGTAATCCCGTTTCCAACGAAATCCTCCAAGCTATCCAAATATCCACTTGCAGATTCCACAGAAAGACTGTTTCAAAACTGCTCTGTCAATAGAAAGGTTCAACTCTATTAGCTGCGTACATATATCCCAAAGAAGATTCTGAGATTGCTTCTGTCTAGTTTTTATGGGAAGATATTTCCCTTTTCACCGTAGGTGTCAAGGCGCTCCAAATGTCCACTTCCAGATACTACAAAAAGAGTGTTTCAAACCTACTCGGTGAAAGGGAATATTCAACTCTGTGACTTGAATGCACATATCACAAAGAAGTTTCTGAGAATGCTTCTGTCGAGAATTTTATATTAAGATATTCCCGTTTCCAACAAAATCCTGAAATCTATCCAAATATCCCCTCGCAGATTCTACAAGAAGAGTGTTTCAAAACTGCTCTGTAAAAAGAAAGGTTCAACTCTGTTAGTTGAGTACACACATCACAAACAAGTTTCACAGAATGCTTCTTTCTAGCTTGTAGGGGATGATATTCCCTTCATCACCATGGGCCTCAAAACGTCCGAAACGTCCACTTCCATATACTACAAAAAGAGCGTTTCAAACCTGCTCTAGGAAAGGCAATGTTCAACTCTGTGACTTGAATGCAGACATCACAGAGCAGTTCCTGAGAATGCTTCTGTGTAGATTTTATAGGAAGATATTCCCGTTTCCAACGAAATCTTCACAGCTATCCAAATATCCACTTGCAGATTCTACAAAAAGAGTGTATCAAAACTGCTCTGTCAAAAGGAAGGTTCTTCTCTGTTAGGTGAGTGCATACGTCATAAAGGAGTTTCTGAGAATGTTTCTGTCTAGTGGTTATGGGAAGATATTTGCTTTTTCACCGTAGGCCTCAGAGCGCTCCAAATATCCACTTGCACATACTACAAAAAGAGTGCCTCAAAGCTGCTCTCTGAAACGGAATGTTCAACTCTATGAGTTGAATGCAAACATCACAGAGACGTTTCTGAGAATGCTTCTGTCTAGCATTTGATATGAAGATATTCCCGTTTCCAACGAAATCTTCAAATCTATCCAAATGTCCACTTGCAGATTCAACAAAAAGTGTTTTTCAGAACTGCTCTATCAAAAGAAAGATCCACCTCTGTTAGCTGAGTTCACACATCACAAACAAGTTTATGAGAATGCTTCTGTCTAGTTTTTATTTGAAGATATTTCCTTTCTCACCATAGACCTGAAAGCTGTCCTAATGTTCACTTCCAGATACTACAGAAAGAGTGTTTCAAAACTGCTGTACGAAAGGGAATGTTCAACTTTGTGACTTGAATGCCCACATCACAAAGATGTTTCTGAGGATGCTGCTGTCTTCTTTTTATACGTAATCCCGTTTCCAACGAAATCCTCCAAGCTATCCAAATATCCACTTGCAGATTCCACAGAAAGACTGTTTCAAAACTGCTCTGTCAATAGAAAGGTTCAACTCTGTTAGCTGCGTGCATATATCCCAAAGAAGATTCTGAGATTGCTTCTGTCTACTTTTTATGAGAAGATATTTCCCTTTTCACCGTAGGCGTCAAGGCGCTCCAAATGTCCACTTCCAGATACTACAAAAAGAGTGTTTCAAACCTACTCTGTGAAAGGGAATATTCAACTCTGTGACTTGAATGCACATATCACAAAGAAGCTTCTGAGAATGCTTCTGTCGAGATTTTATATGAAGATAATCCCCTTTCCAACGAAATCCTGAAATCTATCCAAATATCCCCTCGCAGATTCTACAAAAAGAGTGTTTCAAAACTGCTCTGTAAAAAGAAAGGTTCAACTCTGTTAGTTGAGTACACACATCACAAACAAGTTTCACAGAATGCTTCTTTCTAGCTTGTAGGGGAAGATATTCCCTTTATCACCATGGGCCTCAAACCGTCCGAAACGTCCACTTCCATATAGTACAAAAAGAACGCTTCAAACCTGCTCTATGAAAGACAATGTTCAACTCTGTGACTTGAATGCAGACATCACAGAGCAGTTTCTGAGAATGCTTCTGTCTAGATTTTATAGGAAGATATTCCCGTTTCCAACGAAATCTTCACAGCTATCCAAATATCCACTTGCAGATTCTACAAAAAGAGTGTATCAAAACTGCTCTGTCAAAAGGAAGGTTCTTCTCTTTTAGGTGAGTGCATACGTCATAAAGGAGTTTCTGAGAATGTTTCTGTCTAGTGGTTATGGGAAGATATTTGCTTTTTCACCGAAGGCCTCAGAGCGCTCCAAATATCCACTTGCACATACTACAAAAAGAGTGCCTCAAAGCTGCTCTCTGAAACGGAATGTTCAACTCTATGAGTTGAATGCAAACATCGCAAAGACGTTTCTGAGAATGCTTCTGTCTAGATTTGATATGAAGATATTCCCGTTTCCAACGAAATCTTCAAATCTATCCAAATGTCCACTTGCAGATTCAACAAAGTGTTTTTCAGAATTGCTCTATCAAAGGAAAGATCCACCTCTGTTAGCTGAGTTCACACTTCACAAACAAGTTTATCAGAATGCTTCTGTCCAGTTTTTATTTGAAGATATTTCCTTTCTCACCATAGACCTGAAAGCTGTCCTAATGTTCACTTCCAGATACTACAGAAAGAGTGTTTCAAAACTGCTGTACGAAAGGGAATGTTCAACTCTGTGACTTGAATGCACACATCACAAAGAAGTTTCTGAGGATGCTGCTGGCTACTTTTTATACGTAATCCCGTTTCCAACGAAATCCTCCAAGCTATCCAAATATCCACTTGCAGATTCCACAGAAAGACTGTTTCAAAACTGCTCTGTCAATAGAAAGGTTCAACTCTGTTAGCTGCGTGCATATATCCCAAAGAAGATTCTGAGATTGCTTCTGTCTAGTTTTTATGGGAAGATATTTCCCTTTTCACCGTAGGTGTCAAGGCGCTCCAAATGTCCACTTACAGATACTACAAAAAGAGTGTTTCAAACCTACTCTGTGAAAGGGAATATTCAACTGTGTGACTTGAATGCAGATATCACAATGAAGTTTCTGAGAATGCTTCTGTCGACATTTTATATGAAGATATTCCCGTTTCCAAGGAAATCCTGAAATGTATCCAAATATCCCCTCGCAGATTCTACAAAAAGAGTGTTTCAAAACTGCTCTGTAAAAAGAAAGGTTCAACTCTGTTAGTTGAGTACACACATCACAAACAAGTTTCACACAATGCTTCTTTCTAGCTTGTAGGGGAAGATATTCCCTTTATCACCATGGGCCTCAAACCGACCGAAACTTCCACTTCCATATACTACAAAAAGAGCGTTTCAAACCTGCTCTATGAAAGGCAATGTTCAACTCTGTGACTTGAATGCAGACATCACAGAGCAGTTTCTGAGAATGCTTCTGTCTAGATTTTATAGGAAGATATTCCCGTTTCCAACGAAATCTTCACAGCTATCCAAATATCCACTTGCAGATTCTACAAAAAGAGTGTATCAAAACTGCTCTGTCAAAAGGAAGGTTCTTCTACTGTTAGGTGAGTGCATACGTCATAAAGGAGTTTCTGAGAATGTTTCTGTCTAGTGGTTATGGGAAGATATTTGCTTTTTCACCGTAGGCCTCAGAGCGCTCCAAATATCCACTTGCACATACTACAAAAAGAGTGCTTCAAAGCTGCTCTCTGAAAGGGAATGTTCAACTCTATGAGTTGAATGCAAACATCACAAAGACGTTTCTGAGAATGCTTCTGTCTAGATTTGATATGAAGATATTCCCGTTTCCAACGAAATCTTCAAATCTATCCAAAGGTCCACTTGCAGATTCAACAAAAAGTGTTTTTCAGAACTGCTCTATCAAAAGAAAGATCCACCTCTGTTAGCTGAGTTCACACATCACAAACAAGTTTATGAGAATGCTTCTGTGTAGTTTTTATTTGAAGATATTTCCTTTCTCACCATAGACCTGAATGCTGTCCTAATGTTCACTTCCAGATACTACAGAAAGAGTTTTTCAAAACTGCTGTACGAAAAGGAATATTCAACTCTGTGACTTGAATGCACACATCACAAAGAAGTTTCTGAGGATGCTGCTGTCTACTTTTTATACCTAATCCCGTTTCCAACGAAATCCTCCAAGCTATCCAAATATCCACTTGCAGATTCCACAGAAAGACTGTTTCAAAACTGCTCTGTCAATAGAAAGGTTCAACTCTGTTAGCTGCGTGCATATATCCCAAAGAAGATTCTGAGATTGTTTCTGTCTAGTTTTTATGGGAAGATATTTCCCTTTTCACCATAGGTGTCAAGGCGCTCAAAATGTCCACTTCCAGATACTACAAAAAGAGTGTTTCAAACCTACTCTGTGAAAGGGAATATTCAACTCTGTGACTTGAATGCAGACATCACAGAGCAGTTTCTGAGAATGCTTCTGTCGAGATTTTATATTAAGATATTCCCGTTTCCAACGAAATCCTGAAATCTATCCAAATATCCCCTCGCAGATTCTACAAAAAGAGTATTTCAAAACTGCTCTGTAAAAAGAAAGGTTCAACTCTGTTAGTTGAGTACACACATCACAAACAAGTTTCACAGAATGCTTCTTTCTAGCTTTGTAGGGGAAGATATTCCCTTTATCACCATGGGCCTCAAACCGTCCGAAAAGTCCACTTCCATATACTACAAAAAGAGCGTTTCAAACCTGCTCTATGAAAGGCAATGTTCAACTCTGTGACTTGAATGCAGACATCACAGAGCAGTTTCTGAGAATGCTTCTGTCTAGATTTTATAGGAAGATATTCCCGTTTCCAACGAAATCTTCACAGCTATCCAAATATCCACTTTCAGATTCTACAAAAAGAGTGTATCAAAAGTGCTCTGTCAAAAGGAAGGTTCTTCTCTGTTAGGTGAGTGCATACGTCATAAAGGAGTTTCTGAGAATGTTTCTGTCTAGTGGTTATGGGAAGATATTTGCTTTTTCCCCGTAGGCCTCAGAGCGCTCCAAATATCTACTTGCACATACTACAAAAAGAGTGCTTCAAAGCTACTCTCTGAAAGGGAATGTTCAACTCCATGAGTTTAATTGAAACATCACAAAGACGTTTCTGAGAATGCTTCTGTCTAGATTTGATATGAAGATATTCCCGTTTCCAACGAAATCTTCAAATCTATCCAAATGTCCTCTTGCAGATTCAACAAAAAGGGTTTTTCAGAACTGCTCTATCAAAAGAAAGATCCACGTGTGTTAGCTGAGTTCACACATCACGAACAAGTTTATGAGAATGCTTCTGTCTAGTTTTTATTTGAAGATATATCCTTTCTCACTATATACCTGAAAGCTCTCTTAAAGTTCACTTCCAGATACTACAGAAAGAGTGTTTCAAAACTGCTGTATGAAAGGGAATGTTCAACTCTGTGACTTGAATGCACACATCACAAAGAAGTTTCTGAGGATGCTGCTGTCTACTTTTTATACGTAATCCCGTTTCCAACGAAATCCTCCAAGCTATCCAAATATCCACTTGCAGATTCCACAGAAAGACTGTTTCAAAACTGCTCTGTCAATAGAAAGGTTCAACTCTATTAGCTGCGTACATATATCCCAAAGAAGATTCTGAAATTGCTTCTGTCTAGTTTTTATGGGAAGATATTTCCCTTTTCACCGTAGGCGTCAAGGCGCTCCAAATGTCCACTTCCAGATACTACAAAAAGAGTGTTTCAAACCTACTCTGTGAAAGGAAATATTCAACTCTGTGACTTGAATGCACATATCACAAGGAAGTTTCTGAGAATGCTTCTGTCGAGATTTTATATGAAGATATTCCCGTTTCCAACGAAATCCTGAAATCTATCCAAATATCCCCTCGCAGATTCTTCAAAAAGAGTGTTTCAATACTGCTCTGTAAAAAGAAAGGTTCAAGTCTGTTAGTTGAGTACACACATCACAAACAAGTTTCACAGAATGCTTCTTTCTAGCTTGTAGGGGAAGATATTCCCTTTATCACCATGGGCCTCAAACCGTCCGAAACGTCCACTTCCATATACTACAAAAAGAGTGTTTCAAACCTGCTCTATGAAAGGCAATGTTCAACTCTGTGACTTGAATGCAGACATCACAGAGCACTTTCTGAGAATGCTTCTGTCTAGATTTTATAGGAAGATATTCCCGTTTCCAACGAAATCTTCACAGCTATCCAAATATCCACTTGCAGATTCTACAAAAAGAGTGTATCAAAACTGCTCTGTCAAAAGGAAGGTTCTTCTCTGTTAGGTGTGTGCATACGTTTAAAGGAGTTTCTGAGAATGTTTCTGTCTAGTGGTTATGGGAAGATATTTGCTTTTTCCCCGTAGGCCTCAGGGCCCTCCAAATGTCCACTTGCACATGCTACAAAAAGAGTGCTTCAAAGCCGCTCTCTGAAAGGGAATGTTCAACTCTATGAGTTGAATGCAAACATCACAAAGACGTTTCTGAGAATGCTTCTGTCTAGATTTGATATGAAGATATTCCCGTTTCCAACGAAATCTTCAAATCTATCCAAATGTCCACTTGCAGATTCAACAAAAAGTGTTTTTCAGAACTGCTCTATCAAAAGAAAGATCCACCTCTGTTAGCTCAGTTCACACATCACAAACAAGTTTATGAGAATGCTTCTGTCTAGTTTTTATTTGAAGATATTTCCTTTCTCACCATAGACCTGAAAGCTGTCCTAATGTTCACTTCCAGATACTACAGAAAGAGTGTTTCAAAACTGCTGTACGAAAGGGAATGTTCAACTCTGTGACTTGAATGCACACATCACAAGGAAGTTTCTGAGGATGCTGCTGTGTACTTTTTATACGTAATCCCGTTTCCAACGAAATCCTCCAAGCTATCCAAATATCCACTTGCAGATTCCACAGAAAGACTGTTTCAAAACTGCTATGTCAATAGAAAGGTTCAACTCTGTTAGCTGCGTGCATATATCCCAAAGAAGATTCTGAGATTGCTTCTGTCTACTTTTTATGAGAAGATATTTCCCTTTTCACCGTAGGCGTCAAGGCGCTCCAAATGTCCACTTCCAGATACTACAAAAAGAGTGCTTCAAACCTACTCTGTGAAAGGGAATATTCAACTCTGTGACTTGAATGCACATATCACAAAGAAGCTTCTGAGAATGCTTCTGTCGAGATTTTATATGAAGATATTCCCGTTTCCAACGAAATCCTGAAATGTATCCAAATATCCCCTCGCAGATTCTACACAAAGAGTGTTTCAAAACTGCTCTGTAAAAACAAACGTTCAACTCTGTTAGTTGAGTACACACATCACAAACAAGTTTCACACAATGCTTCTTTCTAGCTTGTAGCGGAAGATATTCCCTTTATCACCATGGGCCTCCAACCGTCCGAAACATCCACTTCCATATACTACAAAAAGAGCGTTTCAAACCTGCTCTATGAAAGGCAATGTTCAACTCTGTGACTTGAATGCAGACATCACAGAGCAGTTTCTGAGAATGCTTCTGTCTAGATTTTATAGGAAGATATTCCCGTTTCCAACGAAATCTTCACAGCTATCCAAATATCCACTTGCAGATTCTACAAAAAGAGTGTATCAAAACTGCTCTGTCAAAAGAAAGGTTCTTCTCTGTTAGGTGAGTGCATACGTCATAAAGGAGTTTCTGAGAATGTTTCTGTCTAGTGGTTATGGGAAGATATTTGCTTTTTCACCGTAGGCCTCAGAGCGCTCCAAATATCCACTTGCACATACTACAAAAAGAGTGCCTCAAAGCTGTTCTCTGAAACGGAATGTTCAACTCTATGAGTTGAATGCAAACATCGCAAAGACGTTTCTGAGAATGCTTCTGTCTAGATTTGATATGAAGATATTCCCGTTTCCAAGGAAATCTTCAAATCTATCCAAATGTCCACTTGCAGATTCAACAAAAATTGTTTTTCAGAACTGCTCTATCAAAAGAAAGATCCACGTGTGTTAGCTGAGTTCACACATCACAAACAAGTTTATGAGAATGCTTCTGTCTAGTTTTTATTTGAAGATATTTCCTTTCTCACCATAGACCTGAAAGCTGTCCTAATGTTCACTTCCAGATACTGCAGAAAGAGTGTTTCAAAACTGTTGTACGAAAGGGAATGTTCAACTCTGTGACTTGAATGCACACATCACAAAGAAGTTTCTGAGGATGCTGCTGTCTACTTTTTATACGTAATCTCGTTTCCAAAGAAATCCTCCTAGCTATCCAAATATCCACTTGCAGATTCCACAGAAAGACTGTTTCAAAACTGCTCTGTCAATAGAAAGGTTCAACTCTGTTAGCTGCGTGCATATATCCCAAAGAAGATTCTGAGATTGCTTCTGTCTAGTTTTTATGGGAAGATATTTCCCTTTTCACCGTAGGCGTCAAGGCGCTCCAAATGTCCACTTCCAGATACTACAAAAAGAGTGTTTCAAACCTACTCTGTGAAAGGGAATATTCAACTCTGTGACTTGAATGCACATATCACAAAGAAGTTTCTGAGAATGCTTCTGTCGAGATTTTATATGAAGATATTCCCGTTTCCAACGAAATGCTGAAATCTATCCAAATATCCCCTCGCAGATTCTACAAAAAGAGTGTTTCAAAACTGCTCTTTAAAAAGAAAGGTTCAACTCTGTTAGTTGAGTACACACATCACAAACAAGTTTCACAGAATGCTTCTTTCTAGCTTGTAGGGGAAGATATTCCCTTTATCACCATGGGCCTCAAACCGTCCGATAAGTCCACTTCCATATACTACAAAAAGAGCGTTTCAAACCTGCTCTATGAAAGGCAATGTTCAACTCTGTGACTTGAATGCAGACATCACAGAGCAGTTTCTGAGAATGCTTCTGTCTAGATTTTATAGGAAGATATTCCCGTTTCCAACGAAATCTTCACAGCTATCCAAGTATCCACTTGCAGATTCTACAAAAAGAGTGTATCAAAACTGCTCTTTCAAAAGGAAGGTTCTTCTCTGTTAGGTGAGTGCATACGTCATAAAGGAGTTTCTGAGAATGTTTCTGTCTAGTGGTTATGGGAAGATATTTGCTTTTTCACCGTAGGCCTCAGAGGCGCTCCAAATATCCACTTGCACATACTACAAAAAGAGTGCCTCAAAGCTGCTCTCTGAAACGGAATGTTCAACTCTATGAGTTGAATGCAAACATCACAAAGACGTTTCTGAGAATGCTTCTGTCTAGATTTGATATGAAGGTATTCCCGTTTCCAAAGAAATCTTCAAATCTATCCAAATGTCCACTTGCAGATTCAACAAAAAGTGTTTTTCAGAACTGCTCTATCAAAAGAAAGATCCACCTCTGTTAGCTGAGTTAACACATCACAAACAAGTTTATGAGAATGCTTCTGTCTAGTTTTTATTTGAAGATATTTCCTTTCTCACCATAGACCTGAAAGCTGTCCTAAAGTTCACTTCCAGTTACTACAGAAAGAGTGTTTCAAAACTGCTGTACGAAAGGGAATGTTCAACTCTGTGACTTGAATGCACACATCACAAAGAAGTTTCTGAGGATGCTGCTGTCTACTTTTTATACTTAATCCCGTTTCCAACGAAATCCTCCAAGCTATCCAAATATCCACTTGCAGATTCCACAGAAAGACTGTTTCAAAACTGCTCTGCCAATAGAAAGGTTCAACTCTGTTAGCTGCGTGCATATATCCCAAAGAAGATTCTGAGATTGCTTCTGTCTAGTTTTTATGGGAAGATATTTCCCTTTTCACCGTAGGCGTCAAAGCGCTCCAAATGCCCACTTCCAGACACTACAAAAAGAGTGTTTCAAACCTACTCTGTGAAAGGGAATATTCAACTCTGTGACTTGAATGCAGATATCACAAAGAAGTTTCTGAGAATGCTTCTGTCGAGATTTTATATGAAGATATTCCCCTTTCCAACGAAATCCTGAAATCTATCCAAATATCCCCTCGCAGATTCTACAAAAAGAGTGTTTCAAAACTGCTCTGTAAAAAGAAAGGTTCAACTCTGTTAGTTGAGTACACACATCACAAACAAGTTTCACAGAATGCTTCTTTCTAGCTTGTAGGGGAAGATATTCCCTTTATCACCATGGGCCTCAAACCGTCCGAAACGTCCACTTCCATATGCTACAAAAAGAGTGTTTCAAACCTGCTCTATGAAAGGCAATGTTCAACTCTGTGAGTTGAATGCAGACATCACAGAGCAGTTTCTGAGAATGCTTCTGTCTAGATTTTATAGGAAGATATTCCCGTTTCCAACGAAATCTTCACAGCTATCCAAATATCCACTTGCAGATTCTGCAAAAAGAGTGTATCAAAACTGCTCTGTCAAAAGGAAGGTTCTTCTCTGTTAGTTGAGTACATACTTCATAAAGGAGTTTCTGAGAATGTTTCTGTCTAGTGGTTATGGGAAGATATTTGCTTTTTCACCGTAGGCCTCAGAGCGCTCCAAATATCCACTTGCACATACTACAAAAAGAGTGCTTCAAAGCTGGTCTCTGAAACGGAATGTTCAACTCTATGAGTTGAATGCAAACATCACAAAGACGTTTCTGAGAATGCTTCTTTCTAGATTTGATATGACGATATTCCCGTTTCCAACGAAATCTTCAAATCTATCCAAATGTCCACTTGCAGATTCAACAAAACGTGTTTTTCAGAACTGCTCTATCAAAAGAAAGATCCACCTCTGTTAGCTGAGTTCACACATCACAAACAAGTTTATGAGAATGCTTCTGTCTAGTTTTTATTTGAAGATATTTCCTTTCTCACCATAGACCTGAAAGCTGTCCTAATGTTCACTTCCAGATACTACAGAAAGAGTGTTTCATAACTGCTGTACGAAAGGGAATGTTCAACTCTGTGACTTGAATGCACACATCACAAAGAAGTTTCTGAGGATGCTGCTGTCTAATTTTTATACGTAATCCCGTTTCCAACGAAATCCTCCAAGCTATCCAAATATCCACTTGCAGATTCCACAGAAAGACTGTTTCAAAACTGCTCTGTCAATAGAAAGGTTCAACTCTGTTAGCAGCGTGCATATATCCCAAAGAAGATTCTGAGATTGCTTCTGTCTACTTTTTATGAGAAGATATTTCCCTTTTCACCGTAGGCGTCAAGGCGCTCCAAATGTCCACTTCCAGATACTACAAAAAGAGTGTTTCAAACCTACTCTGTGAAAGGGAATATTGAACTCTGTGACTTGAATGCACATATCACAAAGAAGCTTCTGAGAATGCTTCTGTCGAGATTTTATATGAAGATATTCCCGTTTCCAAAGAAATCCTGAAATCTATCCAAATATCCCCTCGCAGATTCTACAAAAATAGTGTTTCAAAACTGCTCTGTAAAAAGAAAGGTTCAACTCTGTTAGTTGAGTACACACATCACAAACAAGTTTCACAGAATGCTTCTTTCTAGCTTGTAGGGGAAGATATTCCCTTTATCACCATGGGCCTCCAACCGTCCGAAACATCCACTTCCATATACTACACAAAGAGCGTTTCAAACCTGCTCTATGAAAGGCAATGTTCAACTCTGTGACTTGAATACAGACATCACAGAGCAGTTTCTGAGAATGCTTCTGTCTAGATTTTATAGGAAGATATTCCCTGTTTCCAACGAAATCTTCACAGCTATCCAAATATCCACTTGCAGATTCTACAAAAAGAGTGTATCAAAACTGCTCTGTCAAAAGGAAGGTTCTTCTCTGTTAGGTGAGTGCATACATCATAAAGGAGTTTCTGAGAATGTTTCTGTCTAGTGGTTACGGGAAGATATTTGCTTTTTCCCCGTAGGGCTCAAAGCGCTCCAAATGTCCACTTGCACATACTACAAAAACAGTGCTTCAAAGCTGCTCTCTGAAAGGGAATGTTCAACTCTATGAGTTGAATGCAAACATCACAAAGACGTTTCTGAGAATGCTTCTGTCTAGATTTGAAATGAACATATTCCCGTTTTCAACGAAATCTTCAAATCTATCCAAATGTCTACTTGCAGATTCAACAAAAAGTGTTTTTCAAAACTGCTGTGTCGAAAGAAAGATCCAACTCTGTTAGCTGAGTTCACACTTCACAAACAAGTTTATCAGAATGCTTCTGTCTAGTTTTTATTTGAAGATATTTCCTTTCTCACCATAGACCTGAAAGCTGTCCTAATGTTCACTTCCAGATACTACAGAAAGAGTGTTTCAAAACTGCTGTACGAAAGGGAATGTTCAACTCTGTGACTTGAATACACACATCACAAAGAAGTTTCTGAGGAGGCTGCAGTCTACTTTTTATACGTAATCCCGTTTCTAAAGAAAACCTCCAAGCTATCCAAATATCCACTTGCAGATTCCACAGAAAGACTGTTTCAAAACTGCTCTGTCAATAGAAAGGTTCAACTCTGTTAGCTGCGTGCATATATCCCAAAGAAGATTCTGAGATTGCTTCTGTCTACTTTTTATGAGAAGATATTTCCCTTTTCACCGTAGGCATCAAGGCGCTCCAAATGTCCACTTCCAGATACTACAAAAAGTGTGTTTCAAACCTACTCTGTGAAAGGGAATATTCAACTCTGTGACTTGAATGCACATATCACAACGAAGCTTCTGAGAATGCTTCTGTCGAGATTTTATATGAAGATATTCCCGTTTCCAACGAAATCCTGAAATCTATCCAAATATCCCCTTGCAGATTCTACAAAAAGAGTGTTTCAAAACTGCTCTGTAAAAAGAAAGGTTCAACTCTGTTAGTTGAGTACACACATCACAAACAAGTTTCACAGAATGCTTCTTTCTAGCTTGTAGGGGAAGATATTCCCTTTATCACCATGGGCCTCAAACCGTCCGAAACATCCACTTCCATATACTACAAAAAGAGCGTTTCAAACCTGCTCTATGAAAGGCAATGTTCAACTCTGTGACTTGAATGCAGACATCACAGAGCAGTTTCTGAGAATGCTTTCTGTCTAGATTTTATAGGAAGATATTCCCGTTTCCAACGAAATCTTCACAGCTATCCAAATATCCACTTGCAGATTCTACAAAAAGAGTGTATCGAAACTGCTCTGTCAAAAGGAAGGTTCTTCTCTGTTAGGTGAGTGCATACGTCATAAAGGAGTTTCTGAGAATGTTTCTGTCTAGTGGTTATGGGAAGATATTTGCTTTTTCCCCGTAGGCCTCAGGGCCCTCCAAATGTCCACTTGCACATGCTACAAAAAGAGTGCTTCAAAGCTGCTCTCTGAAAGGGAATGTTCAACTCTATGAGTTGAATGCAAACATCACAAAGACGTTTCTGAGAATGCTTCTGTCTAGATTTGATATGAAGATATTCCCGTTTCCAACGAAATCTTCAAATCTATCCAAATGTCCACCTGCAGATTCAACAAAAAATGTTTTTCAGAACTGCTCTATCAAAAGAAAGATCCACCTCTGTTAGCTGAGTTCACACATCACAAACAAGTTAATGAGAATGCTTCTGTCTAGTTTTTATTTGAAGATATTTCCTTTCTCACCATAGACCTGAAAGCTTTCCTAATGTTCACTTCCAGATACTACAGAAAGAGTGGTTCAAAACTGCTGTACGAAAGGGAATGTTCAACTCTGTGACTTGAATGCACACATCACAAAGAAGTTTCTGAGGATGCTGCTGTCTAATTTTTATACGTAATCCCGTTACCAACGAAATCCTCCAAGCTATCTAAATATCCACTTGCAGATTCCACAGAAAGACTGTTTCAAAACTGCTCTGTCAATAGAAAGGTTCAACTCTGTTAGCTGCGTGCATATATCCCAAAGCAGATTCTGAGATTCCTTCTGTCTAGTTTTTATGGGAAGATATTTCCCTTTTCACCGTAGGCGTCGAGGCGCTCCAAATTTCCACTTCCAGATACTACAAAAAGAGTGTTTGAAACCTACTCTGTGAAAGGGAATATTCAACTCTGTGACTTGAATGCACATATCACAAAGAAGTTTCTGAGAATGCTTCTGTCGAGATTTTATATGAAGATATTCCCGTTTCCAACGAAATCCTGAAATCTATCCAAATATCCCCTCGCAGATTCTACAAAAAGAGTGTTTCAAAACTGCTCTGTAAAAAGAAAGGTTCAACCCTCTTAGTTGAGTACACACATCACAAACAAGTTTCACAGAATGCTTCTTTCTAGCTTGTAGGGGAAGATATTCCCTTTATCACCATGGACCTAAAACCGTCCGAAACGTCCACTTCCATATACTACAAAAAGAGCGTTTCAAACCTGCTCTAGGAAAGGCAATGTTCAACTCTGTGACTTGAATGCAGACATCACAGAGCAGTTTCTGAGAATGCTTCTGTCTAGATTTTATAGGAAGATATTCCCGTTTCCAACGAAATCTTCACAGCTATCCAAATATCCACTTGCAGATTCTACAAAAAGAGTGTATCAAAACTGCTCTGTCAAAAGGAAGGTTCTTCTCTGTTAGGTGAGTGCATACTTCATAAAGCAGTTTCTGAGAATGTTTCTGTCTAGTGGTTATGGGAAGATATTTGCTTTTTCACCGTAGGCCTCAGAGCGCTCCAAATATCCACTTGCACATACTACAAAAAGAGTGCCTCAAAGCTGCTCTCTGTAACGGAATGTTCAACTCTATGAGTTGAATGCAAACATCACAAAGACGTTTCTGAGAATGCTTCTGTCTAGATTTGATATGAAGATATTCCCGTTTCCAACGAAATCTTCAAATCTATCCAAATGTCCACTTGCAGATTCAACAAAAAGTGTTTTTCAGAACTGCTCTATCAAAAGAAAGATCCACCTCTGTTAGCTGAGTTCACACATCACAAACAAGTTTATGAAAATGCTTCTGTCTATTTTTTATTTGAAGATATAGCCTTTCTCACTATAGACATGAAAGCTCTCCTAAAGTTCACTTCCAGATACTTCAGAAAGAGTGTTTCAAAACTGCTGTACGAAAGGGAATGTTCAACTCTGTGACTTGAATGCACACATTACAAGGAAGTTTCTGTGGATGCTGCTGTCTAGCTTTTTATATCTGTAATCCCGTTTCCAACGAAATCCTCCAAGCTATCCAAATATCTACTTGCAGATTCCACAGAAAGACTGTTTCAAAACTGCTCTGTCAATAGAAAGGTTTAACTCTGTTAGCTGCGTGCATATATCCCAAAGAAGATTCTGAGATTGCTTCTGTCTAGTTTTTATGGGAAGATATTTCCCTTTTCACCGTAGGTGTCAAGGCGCTCCAAATGTCCACTTCCAGATACTACAAAAAGAGTGTTTCAAACCTACTCTGTGAAAGGGAATATTCAACTCTGTGACTCGAATGCACATATCACAAAGAAGTTTCTGAGAATGCTTCTGTCGAGATTTTATATGAAGATATTCCCGTTTCCAACGAAATCCTGAAATCTATCCAAATATCCCCTCGCAGATTCTACAAAAAGAATGTTTCAAAACTGCTCTGTAAAAAGAAAGGTTCAACTCTGTTATTTGAGTACACACATCACAAACAAGTTTCACAGAATGCTTCTTTCTAGCTTGTAGGGGAAGATATTCCCTTTATCACCATGGGCCTCCAACCGTCCGAAACATCCACTTCCATATACTACAAAAAGAGCGTTTCAAACCTGCTCTATGAAAGGCAATGTTCAACTCTGTGACTTGAATGCAGACATCACAGAGCAGTTACTGAGAATGCTTCTGTGTAGATTTTATAGGAAGATATTCCCGTTTCCAACGAAATCTTCACAGCTATCCAAATATCCACTTGCAGATTCTACAAAAAGAGTGTATCAAAACTGCTCTGTCAAAAGGAAGGTTCTTCTCTCTTAGGTGAGTGCATACGTCATAAAGGAGTTTCTGAGAATGTTTCTGTCTAGTGGTTATGGGAAGATATTTGCTTTTTCACCGTAGGCCTCAGAGCGCTCCAAATATCCACTTGCACATACTACAAAAAGAGTGCCTCAAAGCTGCTCTCTGAAACGGAATGTTCAACTCTATGAGTTGAATGCAAACATCGCAAAGACGTTTCTGAGAATGCTTCTGTCTAGATTTGATATGAAGATATTCCCGTTTCCAACTAAATCTTCAAATCTATCCAAATGTCCACTTGCAGATTCAACAAAAAGTGTTTTTCAGAACTGCTCTATCAAAAGAAAGATCCACCTCTGTTAGCTGAGTTCAGACATCACAAACAAGTTTATGAGAATGCTTCCTGTCTAGTTTTTATTTGAAGATATTTCCTTTCTCACCATAGAGCTGAAAGCTGTCCTAATGTTCACTTCCAGATACTACAGAAAGAGTGTTTCAAAACTGCTGTACGAAAGGGAATGTTCAACTCTGTGACTTGAATGCACACATCACAAAGAAGTTTCTGAGGATGCTGCTGTCTACTTTTTATATGTAATCCCGTTTCCAATGAAATCCTCCAAGCTATCCAAATATCCACTTGCAGATTCCACAAAAAGACTGTTTCAAAACTGCTCTGTCAATAGAAAGGTTCAACTCTGTTAGCTGCATGCATACATCCCAAAGAAGATTCTGAGATTGCCTCTGTGTAGTTTTTATGGGAAGATATTTCCTTTTTCACCATAGACGTCAAAGCGCTCCCAATGTCCACTTCCAGATACTACAAAAAGAGTGTTTCAAACCTGCTATGTGAAAGGGAATATTCAACTCTGTAACTTCAATGCATATATCACAAAGAGGTTTCGGAGAATGCTTCTGTCGAGATTTTATATGAAGATATTCCCGTTTCCAACGAAATCCTGAAATCTATCCAAATATCCCCTCGCAGATTCTACAAAAAGAGTGTTTCAAAACTGCTCTGTAAAAAGAATGGTTCAACTCTATTAGTTGAGTACACACATCACAAACAAGTTTCACAGAATGCTTCTTTCTAGCTTGTAGGGGAAGATATTCCCTTTATCACCATGGGCCTCAAACCGTCCGAAACGTCTACTTCCATATACTACAAAAAGAGCGTTTCAAACCTGCTCTAGGAAAGGCAATGTTCAACTCTGTGACTTGAATGCAGACATCACAGAGCAGTTTCTGAGAATGCTTCTGTCTAGATTTTATAGGAAGATATTCCCGTTTCCAGCAAAATCTTCACAGCTATCCAAATATCCACTTGCAGATTCTACAAAAAGAGTGTATCAAAACTGCTCTGTCAAATGGAAGGTTCTTCTCTGTTAGGTGAGTGCATACGTCATAAACGAGTTTCTGAGAATGTTTCTGTCTAGTGGTTATGGGAAGATATTTGCTTTTTCACCTTAGGCCTCAGAGCGCTCCAAATATCCCTTTACAAATCCTACAAAAAGAGTGCTTCAAAGCTGCTCTCTGAAAGGGAATGTTCAACTCTATGAGTTGAATGCAAACATCACAAAGACGTTTCTGGGAATGCTTCTGTCTAGATTTGATATGAAGATATTCCCGTTTCCAACGAAATCTTCAAATCTATCCAAATGTCCACTTGCAGATTCAACAAAATGTGTTTTTCAGAACTGCTCTATCAAAAGAAAGATCCACCTCTGTTAGCTGAGTTCACACATCACAAACAAGTTTATGAGAATGCTTCCGTCTAGTTTTTATTTGAAGATATTTCCTTTCTCACCATAGACCTGAAAGCTGTCCTAATGTTCACTTCCAGATACTACAGAAAGAGTGTTTCAAAACTGCTGTACGAAAGGGAATGTTCAACTCTGTGACTTGAATGCACACATCACAAAGAAGTTTCTGAGGATGCTGCTGTCTACTTTTTATACGTAATCCCGTTTCCAACGAAATCCTCCAAGCTATCCAAATATCCACTTGCAGATTCCACAGAAAGACTGTTTCAAAACTGCTCTGTCAATAGAAAGGTTCAACTCTGTTAGCGGCGTGCATAAATCCCAAAGAAGATTCTGAGATTGCTTCTGTCTAGTTTTTATGGGAAGATATTTCCCTTTTCACCGTAGGCGTCAAGGCGCTCCAAATGTCCACTTCCAGATACTACAAAAAGAGTGTTTCAAACCTACTCTGTGAAAGGGAATATTCAACTCTGTGACTTGAATGCACATATCACAAGGAAGTTTCTGAGAATGCTTCTGTCGAGATTTTATATGAAGATATTCCCGTTTCCAACGAAATGCTGAAATGTTTCCAAATATCCCCTCGCAGATTCTACAAAAAGAGTGTTTCAAAACTACTCTGTAAAAAGAAAGGTTCAACTCTGTTAGTTGAGTACACACATCACAAACAAGTTTCACAGAATGCTTCTTTCTAGCTTGTAGGGGAAGATATTCCCTTTATCACCATGGGCCTCAAACCGTCCGAAACGTCCACTTCCATATACTACAAAAAGAGCGTTTCAAACCTGCTCCATGAAAGGCAATGTTCAACTGTGTGACTTGAATGCAGACATCACAGAGCAGTTTCTGAGAATGCTTCTGTCTAGTGGTTATGGGAAGATATTTGCTTTTTCACCGTAGGCCTCAGAGCGCTCCAAATATCCACTTTCAGATTCTACAAAAAGAGTGTATCAAAACTGCTCTGTCAAAAGGAAGGTTCTTTTCTGTTAGGTGAGTGCATACGTCATAAAGGAGTTTCTGAGAATGTTTCTGTCTAGTGGTTATGGGAAGATATTTGCTTTTTCCCCGTATGCCTCAGGGCGCTCCAAATGTCCACTTGCACATGCTACAAAAAGAGTGCTTCAAAGCTGCTCTCTGAAAGGGAATGTTCAACTCTATGAGTTGAATGCAAACATCACAAAGACGTTTCTGAGAATGCTTCTGTCTAGATTTGATATGAAGATATTCCCGTTTCCAACGAAATCTTCAAATCTATCCAAATGTCCACTTGCAGATTTCAACAAAAAGTGTTTTTCAAAACTGCTGTATCAAAAGAAAGATCCACGTCTGTTAGCTGAGTTCACACATCACAAACAAGTTTATGAGAATGCTTCTGTCTAGTTTTTATTTGAAGATATTTCCTTTCTCACCATAGACCTGAAAGCTGTCCTAATGTTCACTTCCAGATACTACAGAAAGAGCGTTTCAAAACTGATGTACGAAAGGGAATGTTCAACTCTGTGACTTGAATGCACACATCACAAAGAAGTTTCTGAGGATGCTGCTGTCTACTTTTTATACGTAATCCCGTTTCCAACGAAATCCTCCAAGCTATCCAAATATCCACTTGCAGATTCTACAGAAAGACTGTTTCAAAACTGCTCTGTCAATAGAAAGGTTCAACTCTGTTAGCTGCGTGCATATATCCCAAAGAAGATTCTGAGATTGCTTCTGTCTAGTTTTTACGGGAAGATATTTCCCTTTTCACCATAGGTGTCAAGGCGCTCCAAATGTCCACTTCCAGATACTACAAAAAGAGTGTTTCAAACCTACTCTGTGAAAGGGAATATTCCGCTCTGTGACTTGAATGCAGATATCACAATGAAGTTTCTGAGAATGCTTCTGTCGAGATTTTGTATGAAGATATTCCCGTTTCCAACGAAATCCTGAAATCTATCCAAATATCCCCTCGCAGATTCTACAAAAAGAGTGTTTCAAAACTGCTCTGTGAAAAGAAAGGTTCAACTCTGTTAGTTGAGTACACACATCACAAACAAGTTTCACAGAATGCTTCTTCTTTCTAGCTTGTAGGGGAAGATATTCCCTTTATCACCATGGGCCTCAAACCGTCCGAAAAGTCCACTTCCATATACTACAAAAAGAGCGTTTCAAACCTGCTCTATGAAAGGCAATGTTCAACTCTGTGACTTGAATGCAGACATCACAGAGCAGTTTCTGAGAATGCTTCTGTCTAGATTTTATAGGAAGATATTCCCGTTTCCAACGAAATCTTCACAGCTATCCAAATATCCACTTGCAGATTCTACAAAAAGAGTGTATCAAAACTGCTCTGTCAAAAGGAAGGTTCTTCTCTGTTAGGTGAGTGCATACGTCATAAAGGAGTTTCTCAGAATGTTTCTGTCTAGTGGTTATGGGAAGATATTTGCATTTTCACCGTAGGCCTCAGAGCGCTCCAAATATCCACTTGCACATACTACAAAAAGAGTGCCTCAAAGCTGCTCTCTGAAAGGGAATGTTCAACTCTATGAGTTGAATGCAAACATCGCAAAGACGTTTCTGAGAATGCTTCTGTCTAGATTTGATATGAAGATATTCCCGTTTCCAAAGAAATCTTCAAATCTATCCAAATGTCCACTTGCAGATTCAACAAAAAGTGTTTTTCAGAACTGCTCTATCAAAAGAAAGATCCACGTCTCTTAGCTGAGTTCACACATCACAAACAAGTTTATGAGAATGCTTCCGTCTAGTTTTTATTTGAAGATATTTCCTTTCTCACCATAGACCTGAAAGCTGTCCTAATGTTCACTTCCAGATACTACAGAAAGAGTGTTTCAAAACTGCTGTACGAAAGGGAATGTTCAACTCTGTGACTTGAATGCACACATCACAAAGGAGTTTCTGAGGATGCTGCTGTCTACTTTTTATACGTAATCCCGTTTCCAACGAAATCCTCCAAGCTATCCAAATATCCACTTGCAGATTCCACAGAAGGACTGTTTCAAAACTACTCTGTCAATAGAAAGGTTCAACTCTGTTAGCTGCGTGCATATATCCCAAAGAAGATTCTGAGATTGCTTCTGTCTAGTTTTTATGTGAAGATATTTCCCTTTTCACCGTAGGCGTCAAGGCGCTCCAAATGTCCACTTCCAGATACTACAAAAAGAGTGTTTCAAACCTACTCTGTGAAAGGGAATATTCAACTCTGTGACTTGAATGCACATATCACAAAGAAGTTTCTGAGAATGCTTCTGTCGAGATTTTATATGAAGATATTCCCGTTTCCAACGAAATCCTGAAATCTATCCAAATATCCCCTCGCAGATTCTACAAAAAGAGTGTTTCAAAACTGCTCTGTGAAAAGAAAGGGTCAACTCTGTTAGTTGAGTACACACATCACAAACAAGTTTCACAGAATGCTTCTTTCTAGCTTGTAGGGGAAGATATTCCCTTTATCACCATCGGCCTCAAACCGTCTGAAACGTCCACTTCCAGATACTACAAAAAGAGCATTTCAAACCTGCTCTATGAAAGGCAATGTTCAACTCTGTGACTTGAATGCAGACATCACAGAGCAGTTTCTGAGAATGCTTCTGTCTAGATTTTATAGGAAGATATTCCCGTTTCCAACGAAATCTTCACAGCTATCCCAAATATCCACTTGCAGATTCTACAAAAAGAGTGTATCAAAACTGCTCTGTCAAAAGGAAGGTTCTTCTCTGTTAGGTGAGTGCATACGTCATAAAGGAGTTTCTGAGAATGTTTCTGTCTAGTGGTTATGGGAAGATATTTGCTTTTTCCCCGTAGGCCTCAGGGCGCTCCACATGTCCACTTGCACATGCTACAAAAAGAGTGCTTCAAAGCTGCTCTCTCAAAGGGAATGTTCAACTCTATGAGTTGAATGCAAACATCGCAAAGACGTTTCTGAGAATGCTTCTGTCTAGATTTGATATGAAGATATTCCCGTTTCCAACGAAATCTTCATATCTATCCAAATGTCCACTTGCAGATTCAACAAAAAGTGTTTTTCAAAACTGCTGTATCAAAAGAAAGATCCACGTCCGTTAGCTGAGTTCACACATCACAAACAAGTTTATGAGAATGCTTCTGTCTAGTTTTTATTTGAAGATATTTCCTTTCTCACCATAGACCTGAAAGCTGTCCTATTGTTCACTTCCAGATACTAAAGAAAGAGTGTTTCAAAACTGCTGTACGAAAGGGAATGTTCAACTCTGTGACTTCAATGCACACATCACAAAGAAGTTTCTGAGGATGCTGCTGTCTACTTTTTATACGTAATCCCGTTTCCAATGAAATCCTCCAAGCTATCCAAGTATCCACTTGCAGATTCCACAGAAAGAGTGTTTCAAAACTGCTCTGTCAATAGAAAGGTTCAACTCTGTTAGCTGCGTGCATATATCCCAAAGAAGATTCTGAGATTGCTTCTGTCTAGTTTTTATGGGAAGATATTTCCCTTTTCACCGTAGGCGTCAAGGCGCTCCAAATGTCCACTTCCAGATACTACAAAAAGAGTGTTTCAAACCTACTCTGTGAAAGCGAATATTCAACTCTGTGACTTTAATGCACATATCACAAAGAAGTTTCTGAGAATGCTTCTGTCGAGATTTTATATGATAGATATTCCCGTTTCCAACGAAATCCTGAAATCTATCCAAATATCCCCTCGCAGATTCTACAAAAAGAGTGTTTCAAAACTGCTCTGTAAAAAGAAAGGTTCAACTCTGTTAGTTGAGTACACACATCACAAACAAGTTTCACAGAATGCTTCTTTCTAGCTTGTAGGGGAAGATTTTCCCTTTATCACCATGGGCCTCCAACCGTCCGAAACATCCACTTCCATATACTACAAAAAGAGCGTTTCAAACCTGCTCTATGAAAGGCAATGTTCAACTCTGTGACTTGAATGCAGACATCACAGAGCAGTTTCTGAGAATGCTTCTGTCTAGATTTTATAGGAAGATATTCCCGTTTCCAACGAAATCTTCACAGCTATCCAAATATCCACTTGCAGATTCTACAAAAAGAGTGTATCAAAACTGCTCAGTCAAAAGAAAGGTTCTTCTCTGTTAGGTGAGTGCATACGTCATAAAGGAGTTTCTGAGAATGTTTCTGTCTAGTGGTTATGGGAAGATATTTGCTTTTTCCCCGTAGGCCTCAGGGCGCTCCAAATGTCCACTTGCACATGCTACAAAAAGAGTGCTTCAAAGCTTCTCTCTGAAAGGGAATGTTCAACTCTATGAGTTGAATGCAAACATCACAAAGACGTTTCTGAGAATGCTTCTGTCTAGATTTGATATGAAGATATTCCCGTTTCCAACGAAATCTTCAAATCTATCCGAATGTCCACTTGCAGATTCAACAAAAAGTGTTTTTCAGAACTGCTCTATCAAAAGAAAGATCCACCTCTGTTAGCTGAGTTCACACATCACAAACAAGTTTATGAGAATGCTTCTGTCTAGTTTTTATTTGAAGATATTTCCTTTCTCACCATAGAGCTGAAAGCTGTCCTAATGTTCACTTCCAGTTACTACAGAAAGAGTGTTTCAAAACTGCTGTACGAAAGGGAATGTTCAACTCTGTGACTTGAATGCACACATCACAAAGAAGTTTCTGAGGATGCTGCTGTCTACTTTTTATACGTAATCCCGTTTCCAACGAAATCCTCCAATCTATCCAAATATCCACTTGCAGATTCCACAGAAAGACTGTTTCAAAACTGCTCTGTCAATAGAAAGGTTCAACTCTGTTAGCTGCGTGCAGATATCCCAAGGAAGATTCTGAGATTGCTTCTGTCTAGTTTTTATGGGAAGATATTTCCCTTTTCACCGTAGGCGTCAAGTCGCTCCAAATGTCCACTTCCAGATACTACAAAAAGAGTGTTTCAAACCTACTCTGTGAAAGGGAATATTCAACTCTGTGACTTGAATGCAGATATCACAAAGAAGTTTCTGAGAATGCTTCTGTCGAGATTTTATATGAAGATATTCCCGTTTCCAACGAAATCCTGAAATCTCTCCAAATATCCCCTCGCAGATTCTACAAAAAGAGTGTATGAAAACTGCTCTGTCAAAAGGTAGGTTCTTCTCTGTTAGGTGAGTGCATACGTCATAAAGGAGTTTCTGAGAATGTTTCTTTCTAGCTTGTAGGGGAAGATATTCCCTTTATCACCATGGGCCTCAAACCGTCCGAAATGTCCACTTCCATATACTACAAAAAGAGCGTTTCAAACCTGCTCTATGAAAGGCAATGTTCAACTCTGTGACTTGAATGCAGACATCACAGAGCAGTTTCGGAGAATGCTTCTGTCTAGATTTTATAGGAAGATATTCCCGTTTCCAACGAAATCTTCACAGCTATCCAAATATCCACTTGCAGATCCTACAAAAAGAGTGTATCAAAACTGCTCTGTCAAAAGGAAGGTTCTTCTCTGTTAGTTGAGTACATACGTCATAAAGGAGTTTCTGAAAATGTTTCTGTCTAGTGGTTATGGGAAGATATTTGCTTTTTCACCTTAGGCCTCAGAGCGCTCCAAATATCCCCTTGCACATACTACAAAAAGAGTGCTTCAAAGCTGCTCTCTGAAAGGGAATGTTCAACTCTATGAGTTGAATGCAAACATCACAAAGACGTTTCTGAGAATGCCTCTGTCTAGATTTGATATGAAGATATTCCCGTTTCCAACGAAATCTTCAAATCTATACAAATGTCCATTTGCAGATTCAACAAAATGTGTTTTTCAGAACTGCTCTATCAAAAGAAAGATCCACCTCTGTTAGCTGAGCTCACACATCACAAACAAGTTTATGAGAATGCTTCTGTCTAGTTTTTATTTGAAGATATTCCCTTTCTCACCATAGACCTGTAAGCTGTCCTAATGTTCACTTCCAGATACTACAGAAAGAGTGTTTCAAAACTGCTGTACGAAAGGGAATGTTCAACTCTGTGACTTGAATGCACACATCACAAAGAAGTTTCTGAGGATGCTGCTGTCTACTTTTTATACGTAATCCCGTTTCCAACGAAATCCTCCAATCTATCCAAATATCCACTTGCAGATTCCACAGAAAGACTGTTTCAAAACTGCTGTGTCTATAGAAAGGTTCAACTCTGTTAGCTGCGTGCATATATCCCAAAGAAGATTCTGAGATTGCTTCTGTCTAGTTTTTATGGGAAGATATTTCCCTTTTCACCGTAGGCGTCAAGGCGCTCCAAATGTCCACTTCCAGATACTACAAAAAGAGTGTTTCAAACCTACTCTGTGAAAGGGAATATTCAACTTTGTGACTTGAATGCACATATCACAAAGAAGTTTCTGAGAATGCTTCTGTCGAGATTTTATATGAAGATATTCCCGTTTCCAACGAAATCCTGAAATCTATCCAAATATCCCCTCGCAGATTCTACAAAAAGAGTGTTTCAAAACTGCTCTGTAAAAAGAAAGGTTCAACTCTGTTAGTTGAGTACACACTTCACAAACAAGTTTCACAGAATGCTTCTTTCTAGCTTGTAGGGGAAGATATTCCCTTTATCACCATGGGCCTCAAACCGTCCGAAACGTCCACTTCCATATAGTACAAAAAGAGCGTTTCAAACCTGCTCTATGAAAGGCAATGTTCAACTCTGTGACTTGAATGCAGACATCACAGAGCAGTTTCTGAGAATGCTTCTGTCTAGATTTTATAGGAAGATATTCCCTGTTTCCAACGAAATCTTCACAGCTATCCAAATATCCACTTGCAGATTCTACAAAAAGAGTGTATCAAAACTACTCTGTCAAAAGGAAGGTTCTTCTCTGTTAGGTGAGTGCATACATCATAAAGGAGTTTCTGAGAATGTTTCTGTCTAGTGGTTATGGGAAGATATTTGCTTTTTCACCGTAGGCCTCAGAGCGCTCCAAATATCCACTTGAACATACTACAAAAAGAGTGCTTCAAAGCTGCTCTCTGAAACGGAATGTTCAACTCTATGAGTTGAATGCAAACATCACAAAGACGTTTACTGAGAATGCTTCTGTCTAGATTTGATATGAAGATATTCCCGTTTCCAACGAAATCTTCAAATCTATCCAAATGTCCACTTGCAGATTCAACAAAAAGTGTTTTTCAGAACTGCTCTATCAAAATAAAGATCCACCTCTGTTACCTGAGTTCACACTTCACAAACAAGTTTTTGAGAATGCTTCTGTCTAGTTTTTATTTGAAGATATTTCCCTTCTCACCATAGAGTGAAAGCTGTCCTAATGTTCACTTCCAGATACTACAGAAAGAGTGTTTCAAAACTGCTGTACGAAAGGGAATGTTCAACTCTGTGACTTGAATGCACACATCACAAAGAAGTTTCTGAGGATGCTGCTGTCTACTTTTTATACGTAATCCCGTTTCCAACGAAATCCTCCAAGCTATCCAAATATCCACTTGCAGATTCCACAGAAACACTGTTTCAAAACTGTTCTGTCAATAGAAAGGTTCAACTATGTTAGCTGCGTGCATATATCCCAAAGAAGATTCTGAGATTGCTTCTGTCTAGTTTTTATGGGAAGATATTTCCCTTTTCACCGTAGGCGTCAAGGCGCTCCAATGTCCAATTCCAGATAGTATAAAAAGAGTGTTTCAAACCTCCTCTGTGAAAGGGAATATTCAACTCTGTGACTGTAATGCAGATATCACAAAGAAGTTTCTGAGAATGCTTCTGTCGAGATTTTATATGAAGATATTCCCGTTTCCAACGAAATCCTGAAATGTATCCAAATATCCCCTCGCAGATTCTACAAAAAGAGTGTTTCAAAACTGCTCTGTGAAAAGAAAGGTTCAACTCTGTTAGTTGAGTACACACATCACAAACAAGTTTCACAGAATGCTTCTTTCTAGCTTGTAGGGGAAGATATTCCCTTTATCACCATGGTCCTCAAACCGTTCGAAACGTCCTCTTCCATATAGTACAAAAAGAGCGTTTCAAACCTGCTCTATGAAAGGCAATGTTCAACTCTGTGACTTGAATGCAGACATCACAGAGCAGTTTCTGAGAATGCTTCTGTCTAGATTTTATAGGAAGATATTCCCGTTTCCAACGAAATCTTCACAGCTATCCAAATATCCACTTGCAGATTCTACAAAAAGAGTGTATCAAAACTGCTCTGTCAAAAAGAGGGTTCTTCTCTGTTAGTTGAGTACATACGTCATAAAGGAGTTTCTGAGAATGTTTCTGTCTAGTGGTTATGGGAAGATATTTGCTTTTTCACCGTAGGCCTCAGAGCGCTCCAAATATCCCCTTGCACATACTACAAAAAGAGTGCTTCAAAGCTGCGCTCTGAAAGGGAATGTTCAACTCTGTGAGTTGAATGCAAACATCACAAAGACGTTTCTGAGAATGCTTCTGTCTAGATTTGATATGAAGATATTCCCGTTTCCAACGAAATCTTCAAATCTATCCAAATGTCCACTTGCAGATTCAACAAAAAGTGTTTTTCAGAACTGCTCTATCAAAGGAAAGATCCACCTCTGTTAGCTGAGTTCACACATCACAAACAAGTTTATGAGAATGCTTCTGTCTAGTTTTTATTTGAAGATATTTCCTTTCTCACCATAGACCTGAAAGCTGTCCTAATGTTCACTTCCAGTTACTACAGAAAGAGTATTTCAAAACTGCTGTACGAAAGGGAATGTTCAACTCTGTGACTTGAATGCACACATCACAAAGAAGTTTCTGAGGATGCTGCTGTCTACTTTTTATACGTAATCCTGTTTCCAACGAAATCCTCCAAGCTATCCAAATATCCACTTGCAGATTCCACAGAAAGACTGTTTCAAAACTGCTATGTCAATAGAAAAGTTCAACTCTGTTAGCTGTGTGCATATATCCCAAAGAAAATTCTGAGATTGCTTCTGTCTAGTTTTTATGGGAAGATATTTCCCTTTTCACCGTAGGCGTCAAGGCGCTCCAAATGTCCACTTCCAGATACTACAAAAAGAGTGTTTCAAACCTACTGTGTGAAAGGGAATATTCAACTCTGTGACTTGAAGGCAGATATCACAAAGAAGTTTCTGAGAATGCTTCTGTCGAGATTTTATATGAAGATATTCCCCTTTCCAACGAAATCCTGAAATCTATCCAAATATGCCCTCGCAGATTCTACAAAAAGAGTGTTTCAAAACTGCTCTGTAAAAAGAAAGGTTCAACTCTGTTAGTTGAGTACACACATCACAAACAAGTTTCACAGAATGCTTCTTTCTAGCTTGTAGGGGAAGATATTCCCTTTATCACCATGGGCCTCAAACCGTCTGAAACGTCCACTTCCATATACTACAAAAAGAGCATTTCAAACCTGCTCTATGAAAGGCAATGTTCAACTCTGTGACTTGAATGCAGACATCACAGAGCAGTTTCTGAGAATGCTTCTGTCTAGATTTTATAGGAAGATATTCCTGTTTCCAACGAAATCTTCACAGCTATCCAAATATCCACTTGCAGATTCTACAAAAAGAGTGTATCAAAACTGCTCTGTCAAAAGGAAGGTTCTTCTATGTTAGGTGAGTGCATACGTCATAAAGGAGTTTCTGAGAATGTTTCTGTCTAGTGGTTATGGGAAGATATTTGCTTTTTCACCGTAGGCCTCAGAGCGCTCCAAATATCCACTTGCACATACTACAAAAAGTGTGCCTCAAAGCTGCTCTCTGAAACGGAATGTTCAACTCTATGAGTTGAATGCAAACATCCCAAAGACGTTTCTGAGAATGCTTCTGTCAAAATTTGATATGAAGATATTCCAGTTTCCAACGAAATCTTCAAATCTATCCAAATGTCCACTTGCAGATTCAACAAAAAGTGTTTTTCAGAACTGCTCTATCAAAAGAAAGATCCACCTCTGTTAGCTGAGTTCACACATCACAAACAAGTTTATGAGAATGCTTTTGTCTAGTTTTTATTTGAAGATATTTCCTTTCTCACCATAGACCTGAAAGCTGTCCTAATGTTCACTTCCAGTTACTACAGAAAGAGTGTTTGAAAACTGCTGTACGAAAGGGAATGTTCAACTCTGTGACTTGAATGCACACATCACAAAGAAGTTTCTGAGGATGCTGCTGTCTACTTTTTATACGTAATCCCGTTTCCAACGAAATCCTCCAAGCTATCCAAATATCCACTTGCAGATTCCACAGAAAGACTGTTTCAAAACTGCTCTGTCAATAAGAAAGGTTCAACTCTGTTAGCTGCGTGCATATATCCCAAAGAAGATTCTGAGATTGCTTCTGTCTAGTTTTTATGGGAAGATATTTCCCTTTTCACCGTAGGTGTCAAGGCGCTCCAAATGTCCACTTCCAGATACTACAAAAAGAGTGTTTCAAACCTACTCTGTGAAAGGGAATATTCAACTCTGTGACTTGAATGCAGATATCACAAAGAAGTTTCTGAGAATGCTTCTGTCGAGATTTTATATGAAGATATTCCCGTTTCCAACGAAATCCTGAAATCTATCCAAATATCCCCTCGCAGATTCTACAAAAAGAGTGTTTCAAAACTG
This sequence comes from Homo sapiens, assembly GCF_000001405.40. NCBI lineage: Eukaryota > Metazoa > Chordata > Mammalia > Primates > Hominidae > Homo > Homo sapiens. The sequence goes on along the minus strand of NC_000022.11, from coordinate 14,351,816 downwards.
CTCTGTAAAAAGAAAGGTTCAACCTTCTTAGTTGAGTACACACATCACAAACAAGTTTCACAGAATGCTTCTTTCTAGCTTGTAGGGGAAGATATTCCCTTTATCACCATGGGCCTCCAACCGTCCGAAACATCCACTTCCATATACTACAAAAAGAGCGTTTCAAACCTGCTCTATGAAAAGCAATGTTCAACTCTGTGACTTGAATGCAGACATCACAGAGCAGTTTCTGAGAATGCTTCTGTCTAGCATTTTATAGGAAGATATTCCCGTTTCCAACGAAATCTTCACAGGTATCAAAATATCCACTTGCAGATTCTACAAAAAGAGTGTATCAAAACTGCTCTGTCAAAAGGAAGGTTCTTCTCTGTTAGGTGAGTGCATACGTCATAAAGGAGTTTCTGAGAATGTTTCTGTCTAGTGGTTATGGGAAGATATTTGCTTTTTCACCGTAGGCCTCAGAGCACTCCAAATATCCACTTGCACATACTACAAAAAGAGTGCCTCAAAGCTGCTCTCTGAAATGGAATGTTCAACTCTATGAGTTGAATGCAAACATCACAAAGACGTTTCTGAGAATGCTTCTGTCTAGATTTGATATGAAGATATTCCCGTTTCCAACGAAATCTTCAAAACTATCCAAATGTCCACTTGCAGATTCAACAAAAAGTGTTTTTCAGAACTGCTCTATCAAAAGAAAGATCCACCGTTGTTAGCTGAGTTCACACATCACAAACAAGTTTATGAGAATGCTTCTGTCTAGTTTTTATTTGAAGATATTTCCTTTCTTACCATAGACCTGAAAGCTGTCCTAATGTTCACTTCCAGATACTACAGAAAGAGTGTTTCAAAACTGCTGTACGAAAGGGAATGTTCAACTCTGTGACTTGAATGCACACATCACAAAGAAGTTTCTGAGGATGCTGCTGTCTACTTTTTATACGTAATCCCGTTTCCAAAAAAATCCTCCAAGCTATCCAAATATCCACTTGCAGATTCCACAGAAAGACTGTTTCAAAACTGCTCTGTCAATAGAAAGGTTCAACTCTGTTAGCTGCGTGCATATATCCCAAAGAAGATTCTGAGATTGCTTCTGTCTAGTTTTTATGGGAAGATATTTCCCTTTTCACCCTAGGCGTCAAGGCGCTCCAAATGTCCACTTCCAGATACTACAAAAAGAGTGTTTCAAACCTACTCTGTGAAAGGGAATATTCAACTCTGTGACTTGAATGCACATATCACAAAGAAGTTTCTGAGAATGCTTCTGTCGAGATTTTATATGAAGATATTCCCGTTTCCAACGAAATCCTGAAATCTATTCAAATATCCCCTCGCAGATTCTTCAAAAAGAGTGTTTCAATACTGCTCTGTAAAAAGAAAGGTTCAACTCTGTTAGTTGAGTACACACATCACAAACAAGTTTCACAGAATGCTTCTTTCTAGCTTGTAGGGGAAGATATTCCCTTTATCACCATGGGCCTCAAACTGTCCGAAACGTCCACTTCCATATACTACAAAAAGAGCGTTTCAAACCTTCTCTATGAAAGGCAATGTTCAGCTCTGTGACTTGAATGCAGACATCACAGAGCAGTTTCTGAGAATGCTTCTGTCTAGATTTTATAGGAAGATATTCCCGTTTCCAACAAAATCTTCACAGCTATCCAAATATCCACTTGCAGATTCTACAAAAAGAGTGTATCAAAACTGCTCTGTCAAAAGGAAGGTTCTTCTCTGTTAGGTGAGTGCATACGTCATAAAGGAGTTTCTGAGAATGTTTCTGTCTAGTGGTTATGGGAAGATATTTGCTTTTTCACCGTAGGCCTCAGGAGCGCTCCAAATATCCACTTGCACATACTACAAAAAGAGTGCCTCAAGGCTGCTCTCTGAAACGGAATGTTCAACTCTATGAGTTGAATGCAAACATCGCAAAGACGTTTCTGAGAATGCTTCTGTCTAGATTTGATATGAAGATATTCCCGTTTCCAACGAAATCTTCAAATCTATCCAAATGTCCACTTGCAGATTCAACAAAAAGTGTTTTTCAGAACTGCTCTATCAAAAGAAAGATCCAACTCTGTTAGCTGAGTTCACACATCACAAACAAGTTTATGAGAATGCTTCTGTCTAGTTTTTATTTGAAGATATTTCCTTTCTCAATATAGACGTGAAAGCTGTCCTAATATTCACTTCCAGATACTACAGAAAGAGTGTTTCAAAACTGCTGTACGAAAGGGAATGTTCAACTCTGTGACTTGAATGCACACATCACAAAGAAGTTTCTGAGGATGCTGCTGTCTACTTTTTATACGTAATCCCGTTTCCAACGAAATCCTCCAAGCTATCCAAATATCCACTTGCAGATTCCACAGAAAGACTGTTTCAAAACTGGTCTGTCAATAGAAAGGTTCAACTCTGTTAGCTGCGTGCATATATCCCAAAGAAGATTCTGAGATTGCTTCTGTCTAGTTTTTATGGGAAGATATTTCCCTTTTCACCATAGGTGTCAAGGCGCTCCAAATGTCCACTTCCAGATACTACAAAAAGAGTGTTTCAATCCTACTCTGTGAAAGGGAATATTCAACTCTGTGACTTGAATGGAGATATCACAAAGAAGTTTCTGAGAATGCTTCTGTCGAGATTTTATATGAAGATATTCCCGTTTCCAACGAAATCCTGAAATCTATCCAAATATCCGCTCGCAGATTCTACAAAAAGAGTGTTTCAAAACTGTTCTGTGAAAAGAAAGGTTCAACTCTGTTAGTTGAGTACACACATCACAAACAAGTTTCACAGAATGCTTCTTTCTAGCTTGTAGGGGAAGATATTCCCTTTATCACCATGGGCCTCCAACCGTCAGAAACATCCACTTCCATATACTACAAAAAGAGCGTTTCAAACCTGCTCTATGAAAGGCAATGTTCAACTCTGTGACTTGAATGCAGACATCACAGAGCAGTTTCTGAGAATGCTTCTGTCTAGAATTTATAGGAAGATATTCCCGTTTCCAACGAAATCTTCACAGCTATCCAAATATCCACTTGCATATTCTACAAAAAGAGTGTATCAAAACTGCTCTGTCAAAAGGAAGGTTCTTCTCTGTTAGGTGAGTGCATACGTCATAAAGGAGTTTCTGAGAATGTTTCTGTCTAGTGGTTATGGGAAGATATTTGCTTTTTCACCATAGGCCTCAGAGCGCTCCAAATATCCACTTGCACATACAACAAAAAGAGTGCTTCAAAGCTGCTCTCTGAAAGGGAATGTTCAACTCTATGAGTTGAATGCTAACATCACAAAGACGTTTCTGAGAATGCTTCTGTCTAGATTTGATATGAAGATATTCCCGTTTCCAACGAAATCTTGAAATCTATCCAAATGTCCACTTGCAGATTCAACAAAAAGTGTTTTTCAGAACTGCTCTATCAAAAGAAAGATCCACCTCTGTTAACTGAGTTCACACATCACAAACAAGTTTATGAGAATGCTTCTGTCTAGTTTTTATTTGAAGATATTTCCTTTCTCACCGTAGAGCTGAAAGCTGTCCTAATGTTCACTTCCAGATACTACAGAAAGAGTGTTTCAAAACTGCTGTACGAAAGGGAATGTTCAACTCTGTGACTTGAATGCACACATCACAAAGAAGTTTCTGAGGATGCTGCTGTCTACTTTTTATACGTAATCCCGTTTCCAACGAAATCCTCCAATCTATCCAAATATCCACTTGCAGATTCCACAGAAAGACTGTTTCAAATCTGCTCAGTCAATAGAAAGGTTCAACTCTGTTAGCTGCGTGCATATATCACAAAGAAGATTCTGAGATTGCTTCTGTCTAGTTTTTATGGGAAGATATTTCCCTTTTCACCGTAGGCGTCAAGGCGCTCCAAATGTCCACTTCCAGATACTACAAAAAGAGTGTTTCAAACATACTCTGTGAAAGGGAATATTCAACTCTGTGACTTGAATGCACATACCACAAAGAAGTTTCTGAGAATGCTTCTGTCGAGATTTTATATGAAGATATTCCCGTTTCCAACGAAATCCTGAAATGTATCCAAATATCCCCTCGCAGATTCTACAAAAAGAGTGTTTCAAAACTGCTCCTGTAAAAAGAAAGGTTCAACTCTGTTAGTTGAGTACACACATCACAAACAAGTTTCACAGAATGCTTCTTTCTAGCTTGTAGGGGAAGATATTCCCTTTATCACCATGGGCCTCAAACCGTCCGAAACGTTTACTTCCATATACTACAAAAAGAGCGTTTCAAACCTGCTCTATGAAAGGCAATGTTCAACTCTGTGACTTGAATGCAGACATCACAGAGCAGTTTTGAGAATGCTTCTGTCTAGATTTTATAGGAAGATATTTCCGTTTCCAAAGAAACCTTCACAGCTATCCAAATATCCACTTGCAGATTCTACAAAAAGAGTGTATCAAAACTGCTCTGTCAAAAGGAAGGTTCTTCTCTGTTAGGTGAGTGCATACGTCATAAAGGAGTTTCTGAGAATGTTTCTGTCTAGTGGTTATGGGAAGATATTTGCTTTTTCACCGTAGGCCTCAGAGCGCTCCAAATATCCCCTTGCACATACTACAAAAAGAGTGCTTCAAAGCTGCTCTCTGAAAGGGAATGTTCAACTCTATGAGTTGAATGCAAACATCACAAAGACGTTTCTGAGAATGCTTCTGTCTAGATTTGATATGAAGATATTCCCGGTTCCAACGAAATCTTCAAATCTATCCAAATGTCCACTTGCAGATTCAACAAAAAGTGTTTTTCAAAACTGCTGTATCAAAAGAAAGATCCACGTCTGTTAGCTGAGTTCACACATCACAAACAAGTTTATGAGAATGCTTCTGTCTAGTTTTTATTTGAAGATATTTCCTTTCTCACCATAGACCTGAAAGCTTTCCTAATGTTCACTTCCAGATACTACAGAAAGAGTGTTTCAAAACTGCTGTACGAAAGGGAATGTTCAACTCTGTGACTTGAATGCACACATCACAAAGAAGTTTCTGAGGATGCTGCTTTCTACTTTTTATACGTAATCCCGTTTCTAACGAAATCCTCCAAGCTATCCAAATATCCACTTGCAGATTCCACAGAAAGACTGTTTCAAAACTGCTCTGTCAATAGAAAGGTTCAACTCTGTTAGCTGCGTGCATATATCCCAAAGAAGATTCTGAGATTGCTTCTGTCTAGTTTTTATGGGAAGATATTTCCCTTTTCACCATAGGTGTCAACGCGCTCCAAATGTCCACTTCCAGATACTACAAAAAGAGTGTTTCAAACCTACTCTGTGAAAGGGAATATTCAACTCTGTGACTTGAATGCACATATCACAAAGAAGTTTCTGAGAATGCTTCTGTCGAGATTTTATATGAAGATATTCCCTTTTCCAACGAAATCCTGAAATCTATCCAAATATCCCCTCGCAGATTCTACAAAAAGAGTGTTTCAAAACTGCTCTGTAAAAAGAAAGGTTCAACTCTGTTAGTTGAGTACACACATCACAAACAAGTTTCACAGAATGCTTCTTTCTAGCTTGTAGGGGAAGATATTCCCTTTATCACCATGGGCCTCAAACCGTCCGAAACGTCCACTTCCATATACTACAAAAAGAGTGTTTCAAACCTGCTCTATGAAAGGCAACGTTCAACTCTGTGACTTGAATGCAGACATCACAGAGCAGTTTCTGAGAATGCTTCTGTCTAGATTTTATAGGAAGATATTCCCGTTTCCAACGAAATCTTCACAGCTATCCAAATATCCACTTGCAGATTCTACAAAAAGAGTGTATCAAAACTGCTCTGTCAAAAGGCAGGTTCTTCTCTGTTAGGTGAGTGCATACGTCATAAAGGAGTTTCTGAGAATGTTTCTGTCTGGTGGTTATGGGAAGATATTTGCTTTTTCCCCGTACGCCTCAAAGCGCTCCAAATGTCCACTTGCACATACTACAAAAAGAGTGCTTCAAAGCTGCTCTCTGAAAGGGAATGTTCAACTCTATGAGTTGAATGCAAACATCACAACGACGTTTCTGAGAATGCTTCTGTCTAGATTTGATATGAAGATATTCCCGTTTCCAACGAAATCTTCAAATCTATCCAAATGTCCTCTTGCAGATTCAACAAAAAGTGTTTTTCAGAACTGCTCTATCAAAAGAAAGATCCACGTGTGTTAGCTGAGTTCACACATCACAAACAAGTTTATGAGAATGCTTCTGTCTAGTTTTTATTTGAAGATATTTCCTTTCTCACCATACACCTGAAAGCTGTCCTAATGTTCACTTCCAGATACTACAGAAAGAGTGTTTCAAAACTGCTGTACGAAAGGGAATGTTCAACTCTGTGACTTGAATGCACACATCACAAAGAAGTTTCTGAGGATGCTGCTGGCTACTTTTTATACGTAATCCCGTTTCCAACGAAATCCTCCAAGCTATCCAAATATCCACTTGCAGATTCCACAGAAAGACTGTTTCAAAACTGCTCTGTCAATAGAAAGGTTCAACTCTGTTAGCTGCGTGCATATATCCCAAAGAAGATTCTGAGATTGCTTCTGTCTAGTTTTTATGGGAAGATATTTCCCTTTTCACCGTAGTTGTCAAGGCGCTCCAAATGTCCACTTCCAGATACTACAAAAAGAGTGTTTCAAACCTACTCTGTGAAAGGGAATATTCAACTCTGTGACTTGAATGCACATATCACAAAGAAGTTTCTGAGAATGCTTCTGTCGAGAATTTTATATGAAGATATTCCCCTTTCCAACGAAATCCTGAAATCTATCCAAATATCCCCTCGCAGATTCTACAAAAAGAGTGTTTCAAAACTGCTCTGTAAAAAGAAAGGTTCAACTCTGTTAGTTGAGTACACACCTCACAAACAAGTTTCACAGAATGCTTCTTTCTAGCTTGTAGGGGAAGATATTCCCTTTATCACCATGGTCCTCAAACCGTCCGAAACGTCCACTTCCATATACTACAAAAAGAGCGTTTCAAACCTGCTCTAGGAAAGGCAATGTTCAACTCTGTGACTTGAATGCAGACATCACAGAGTAGTTTCTGAGAATGCTTCTGTCTAGATTTTATAGGAAGATATTCCCGTTTCCAACGAAATATTCACAGCTATCCAAATATCCACTTGCAGATTCTACAAAAAGAGTGTATCAAAACTGCTCTGTCAAAAGGAAGGTTCTTCCTCTGTTAGGTGAGTGCATACGTCATAAAGGAGTTTACTGAGAATGTTTTCTGTCTAGTGGTTATGGGAAGATATTTGCTTTTTCACCGTAGGCCTCAGAGCGCTCCAAATATCCACTTGCACATACTACAAAAAGAGTGCTTCAAAGCTGGTCTCTGAAACGGAATGTTCAACTCTATGAGTTGAATGCAAACATCACAAAGACGTTTCTGAGAATGCTTCTGTCTAGATTTGATATGAAGATATTCCCGTTTCCAATGACATCTTCAAATCTATCCAAATGTCCACTTGCAGATTCAACAAAACGTGTTTTTCAGAACTGCTCTATCAAAAGAAAGATCCACCTCTGTTAGCTGAGTTCACACATCACAAACAAGTTTATGAGAATGCTTCTGTCTAGTTTTTATTTGAAGATATATCCTTTCTCACTATAGACCTGAAAGCTCTCATAAAGTTCACTTCCAGATACTACAGAAAGAGTGTTTCAAAAATGCTGTACGAAAGGGAATGTTCAACTCTGTGACTTGAATGCACACATCACAAGGAAGTTTCTGAGGATGCTGCTGTCTACTTTTTATACCGTAATCCCGTTTCCAACGAAATCCTCCAAGCTATCCAAATATCCACTTGCAGATTCCACAGAAAGACTGTTTCAAAACTGCTCTGTCAATAGAAAGGTTCAACTCTATTAGCTGCGTACATATATCCCAAAGAAGATTCTGAGATTGCTTCTGTCTAGTTTTTATGGGAAGATATTTCCCTTTTCACCGTAGGCGTCAAGGCGCTCCAAATATCCACTTCCAGATACTACAAAAAGAGTGTTTCAAACCTACTCTATGAAAGCGAATATTCAACTCTGTGACTTGAATACACATATCACAAAGAAGTTTCTGAGAATGCTTCTGTCGAGATTTTATATGAAGATATTCCCGTTTCCAACGAAATCCTGAAATCTATCCAAATATCCCCTCGCAGATTCTACAAAAAGAGTGTTTCAAAAGTGCTCTGTAAAAAGAAAGGTTCAACTCTGTTAGTTGAGTACACACATCACAAACAAGTTTCAGAGAATGCTTCTTTCTAGCTTGTAGGGGAAGATATTCCCTTTATCACCATGGGCCTCAAACCGTCCGAAAAGTCCACTTCCATATACTACAAAAAGAGCGTTTCAAACCTGCTCTATGAAAGGCAATGTTCAACTCTGTGACTTGAATGCAGACATCACAGAGCAGTTTCTGAGAATCCTTCTGTATAGATTTTATAGGAAGATATTCCCGTTTCCAACGAAATCTTCACAGCTATCCAAATATCCACTTGCAGATTCTACAAAAAGAGTGTATCAAAACTGCTCTGTCAAAAGGAAGGTTCTTCTCTGTTAGGTGAGTGCATACGTCATAAAGGAGTTTCTGAGAATGTTTCTGTCTAGTGGTTATGGGAAGATATTTGCTTTTTCACCGTAGGCCTCAGAGCGCTCCAAATATCCACTTGCACATACTACAAAAAGAGTGTTTCAAAGCTGCTCTCTGAAAGGGAATGTTCAACTCTATGAGTTGAATGCAAACATGACAAAGACGTTTCTGAGAATGCTTTCTGTCTAGATTTGATATGAAGATATTCCCGTTTCCAAAGAAATCTTCAAATCTATCCAAATGTCCACTTGCAGATTCAACAAAGTGTTTTTCAGAACTGCTCTATCAAAAGAAAGATCCACCTCTGTTAGCTGAGATCACACTTCACAAACAAGTTTATCAGAATGCTTCTGTCTAGCTTTTATTTGAAGATATATCCTTTCTCACTATAGACCTGAAAGCTCTCCTAAAGTTCACTTCCAGATACTACAGAAAGAGTGTTTCAAAACTGCTGTAGGAAAGGGAATGTTCAACTCTGTGACTTGAATGCACACATCACAAGGATGTTTCTGAGGATGCTGCTGTCTACTTTTTATACTTAATCCCGTTTCCAACGAAATCCTCCAAGCTATCCAAATATCCACTTGCAGATTCCACAGAAAGACTGTTTCAAAACTGCTCTGTCAATAGAAAGGTTCAACTCTGTTAGCTGCGTGCATATATCCCAAAGAAGATTTCTGAGATTGCTTTCTGTCTACTTTTTATGAGAAGATATTTCCCTTTTCACCGTAGGCATCAAGGCGCTCCAAAAGTCCACTTCCAGATACTACAAAAAGTGTGTTTCAAACCTACTCTGTGTAAGGGAATATTCAACTCTGTGACTTGAATGCACATATCACAACGAAGCTTCTGAGAATGCTTCTGTCGAGATTTTATATGAAGATATTCCCGTTTCCAACGAAATCCTGAAATCTATCCAAATATCCGCTCGCAGATTCTACAAAAAGAGTGTTTCAAAACTGCTCTGTGAAAAGAAAGGTTCAACTCTGTTAGTTGAGTACACACATCACAAACAAGTTTCACAGAATGCTTCTTTCTAGCTTGTAGGGGAAGATATTCCCTTTATCACCATGGGACTCCAACCGTCCGAAACATCCACTTCCATATACTACAAAAAGAGCGTTTCAAACCTGCTCTATGAAAGGCAATGTTGAACTCTGTGACTTGAATGCAGACATCACAGAGCAGTTTCTGAGAATGCTTCTGTCTAGATTTTATAGGAAGATATTCCCGTTTCCAACGAAATCTTCACAGCTATCCAAATATCCACTTTCAGATTCTACAAAAAGAGTGTATCAAAAGTGGTCTGTCAAAAGGAAGGTTCTTCTCTGTTAGGTGAGTGCATACGTCATAAAGGAGTTTCTGAGAATGTTTCTGTGTAGTGGTTATGGGAAGATATTTGCTTTTTCACCGTAGGCCTCAGAGCGCTCCAAATATCCACTTGCACATACTACAAAAAGAGTGCTTCAAAGCTGCTCTCTGAAACGGAATGTTCAACTCTATGAGTTGAATGCAAACATCACAAAGACGTTTCCAAGAATGCTTCTGTCTAGATTTGATATGAAGATATTCCCGTTTCCAAGGAAATCTTCAAATCTATCCAAATGTCCACTTGCAGATTCAACAAAAAGTGTTTTTCAAAACTGCTGTATCAAAAGAAAGATCCACGTCTGTTAGCTGAGTTCACACATCACAAACAAGTTTATGAGAATGCTTCTGTCTAGTTTTTATTTGAAGATATTTCCTTTCTCACCATAGGAGCTGAAAGCTGTCCTAATGTTCACTTCCAGATACTACAGAAAGAGTGTTTCAAAACTGCTGTACGAAAGGGAATGTTCAACTCTGTGACTTGAATGCACACATCACAAAGAAGTTTCTGAGGATGCTGCTGTCTACTTTTTATACATAATCCCGTTTCCAACGAAATCCTCCAAGCTATCCAAATATCCACTTGCAGATTCCACAGAAAGACTGTTTCAAAACTGCTCTGTCAAAAGAAAGGTTCAACTCTGTTAGCTACGTGCATATATCCCAAAGAAGATTCTGAGATAGCTTCTGTCTAGTTTTGATGGGAAGATATTTCCCTTTTCACCGTAGGTGTCAAGGCGCTCCAAATGTCCACTTCCAGATACTACAAAAAGAGTGTTTCAAACCTACTCTGTGAAAGGGAATATTCAACTCTGTGACTTGAATGCACATATCACAAGGAAGTTTCTGAGAATGCTTCTGTCGAGATTTTATATGAAGATATTCCCGTTTCCAACGAAATCTTCAAATCTATCCAAATGTCCACTTGCAGATTCAACAAAAAGTGTTTTTCAGAACTGCTCTATCAAAAGAAAGATCCACCTCTGTTAGCTGAGTTCACACATCACAAACAAGTTGATGAGAATGCTTCTTTCTAGCTTGTAGGGGAAGATATTCCCTTTATCACCATGGGCCTCAAACCGTCCGAAACGTCCACTTCCATATACTACACAAAGAGCGTTTCAAACCTGCTCTAGGAAAGGCAATGTTCAACTCTGTGACTTGAATGCAGACATCACAGAGCAGTTTCTGAGAATGCTTCTGTCTAGATTTTATAGGAAGATATTCCCGTTTCCAACGAAATCTTCACAGCTATCCAAATATCCACTTGCAGATTCTACAAAAAGAGTGTATCAAAACTGCTCTGTCAAAAGGAAGGTTCTTCTCCGTTAGTTGAGTACATACGTCATAAAGGAGTTTCTGAGAATGTTCCTGTCTAGGGGATATGGGAAGATATTTGCTTTTTCCCCGTAGACCTCAAAGCGCTCCAAATGTCCACTTGCACATACTACAAAAAGAGTGCTTCAAAGCTGCTCTCTGAAAGGGAATGTTCAACTGTATGAGCTGAATGCTACCATCACAAAGACGTTTCTGAGAATGCTTCTGTCTAGATTTGATATGAAGATATTCCCGTTTCCAAAGAAATCTTCAAATCTATCCAAATGTCCACTTGCAGATTCAACAAAAAGTGTTTTTCAGAACTGCTCTATCAAAAGAAAGATCCACGTGTGTTAGCTGCGTTCACACATCACAAACAAGTTTATGAGAATGCTTCTGTCTAGTTTTTATTTGAAGATATTTCCTTTCTCACCATAGACCTGAAAGCTGTCCTAATGTTCACTTCCAGTTACTACAGAAAGAGTGTTTCAAAACTGCTGTACGAAAGGGAATGTTCAACTCTGTGACTTGAATGCACACATCACAAAGAAGTTTCTGAGGATGCTGCTGTCTAATTTTTACACGTAATCCCGTTTCCAACGAAATCCTCCAAGCTATCCAAATATCCACTTGCAGATTCCACAGAAAGACTGTTTCAAAACTGCTCTGTCAATAGAAAGGTTCAACTCTGTTAGCTGCGTGCAAATATCCCAAAGAAGTTTCTGAGATTGCTTCTGTCTAGTTTTTATGGGAAGATATTTCCCTTTTCACCGTAGGCGTCAAGGCGCTCCAAATGACCACTTCCAGATACTACAAAAAGAGTGTTTCAAACCTACTCTGTGAAAGGGAATATTCAACTCTGTGACTTGAATGCACATATCACAAGGAAAGTTTCTGAGAATGCTTCTGTCGAGATTTTATATTAAGATATTCCGGTTTCCAACAAAATCCTGAAATCTATCCAAATATCCCCTCGCAGATTCTACAAAAAGAGTGTTTCAAAACTGCTCTGTAAAAAGAAAGGTTCAACTCTGTTAGTTGAGTACACACATCACAAACAATTTTCACAGAATGCTTCTTTCTAGCTTGTAGGGGAAGTATATTCCCTTTATCACCATGGGCCTCAAACCGTCCGAAACGTCCACTTCCATATACTACAAAAAGAGCGTTTCAAACCTGCTCTATGAAAGGCAATGTTCAGCTCTGTGACTTGAATGCAGACATCACAGAGCAGTTTCTGAGAATGCTTCTGTCCGGACTTTATAGGAAGATATTCCCGATTCCAACGAAATCTTCACAGCTATCCAAATATCCACTTGCAGATACTACAAAAAGAGTGTATCAAAAATGCTCTGTCAAGAGGACAGTTCTTCTCTGCTAGTTCAGTACATACGTCATAAAGAAGTTTCTGAGAATGTTTCAGTCTAGTGGTTATGGGAAGATATTTGCTTTTTCACCGTAGGCCTCAGAGCGCTCCAAATATCCACTTGCACATACTACAAAAAGAGTGTTTCAAAGCTGCTCTCTGAAAGGGAATGTTCAACTCTATGAGTTGAATGCAAACATGACAAAGACGTTTCTGAGAATGCTTCTGTCTAGATTTGATATGAAGATATTCCCGTTACCAACGAAATCTTCAAATCTATCCAAATGTCCACTTGCAGATTCAACAAAAAGTGTTTTTCAGAACTGCTCTATCAAAAGAAAGATCCACCTCTGTTAGCTGAGTTCACACATCACAAACAAGTTTATGAGAATGCTTCTGTCTAGTTTTTATTTGAAGATATTTCCTTTCTCACCATAGACCTGAAAACTGTCCTAATGTTCACTTGCAGATACTACAGAAAGAGTGTTTCACAACTGCTGTACGAAAGGGAATGTTCAACTCTGTGACTTGAATGCACACATCACAAAGAAGTTTCTGAGGATGCTGCTGTCTACTTTTTATACGTAATCCCGTTTCCAACGAAATCCTCCAGGCTATCCAAATATCCACTTGCAGATTCCACAGAAAGACTGTTTCAAAACTGCTCTGTCAATAGAAAGGTTCAACTCTGTTAGCTGCATGCATATATCCCAAAGAAGATTCTGAGATTGCTTCTGTCTAGTTTTTATGGGAAGATATTTCCCTTTTCACCGTAGGCGTCAAGGTGCTCCAAATGTCCACTTCCAGATATTACAAAAAGAGTGTTTCAAACCTACTCTGTGAAAGGGAATATTCAACTCTGTGACTTGAATGCACATATCACAAAGAAGTTTCTGAGAATGCTTCTGTCGAGATTTTATATGAAGATATTCCCGTTTCCAACGAAATCCTGAAATCTATCCAAATATCCCCTCGCAGATTCTACAAAAAGAGTGTTTCAAAACTGTTCTGTAAAAAGAAAGGTTCAACTCTGTTAGTTGAGTACACACATCACAAACAAGTATCACAGAATGCTTCTTTCTAGCTTGTAGGGGAAGATATTCCCTTTATCACCATGGTCCTCAAACCGTCCGAAACGTCCTCTTCCATATAGTACAAAAAGAGCGTTTCTAACCTGCTCTATGAAAGTCAATGTTCAACTCTGTGACTTGAATGCACACATCACAGAGCAGTTTCTGAGAATGCTTCTGTCTAGATTATATAGGAAGATATTCCCGTTTCCAACGAAATCTTCACAGCTATCCAAATATCCACTTGCAGATTCTACAAAAAGAGTGTATCAAAACTGCTCTGTCAAAAGGAAGGTTCTTCTCTGTTAGTTGAGATGACATACGTCATAAGAGGAGTTTCTGAGAATGTTTCTGTCTAGTGGTTATGGGAAGATATTTGCTCTTTCACCGTAGGCCTCAGAGCGCTCCAAATATCCACTTGCACATACTACAAAAAGAGTGCCTCAAAGCTGCTCTCTGAAACGGAGTGTTCAACTCTATGAGTTGAATGCAAACATCGCAAAGACGTTTCTGAGAATGCTTCTGTCTAGATTTGATATGAAGATATTCCCGTTTCCAACGAAATCTTCAAATCTATCCAAATGTCCACTTGCAGATTCAACAAAAAGTGTTTTTCAGAACTGCTCTATCAAAAGAAAGGTCCACCTCTGTTAGCTGAGTTCACACATCACAAACAAGTTTATGAGAATGCTTCCGTCTAGTTTTTATTTGAAGATATATCCTTTCTAACTATAGACCTGAAAGCTGTCCTAAAGTTCACTTCCAGATACTACAGAAAGAGTGTTTCAAAACTGCTGTACGAAAGGGAATGTTCAACTCTGTGACTTGAATGCACACATCACAAGGATGTTTACTGAGGATGCTGCTGTCTACTTTTTATACGTAATCCCGTTTCCAACGAAATCCTCCAAGCTATCCAAATATCCACTTGCAGATTCCACAGAAAGACTGTTTCAAAACTGCTCTGTCAATAGAATGGTTCAACTCTGTTAGCTGCGTGCATATATCCCAAAGAAGATTCTGAGATTGCTTCTGTCTAGTTTTGATGGGAAGATATTTCCCTTTTCACCGTAGGCGTCAAGGCGCTCCAAATGACCACTTCCAGATACTACAAAAAGAGAGTTTCAAACCTACTCTGTGAAAGGGAATATTCAACTCTGTGACTTGAATGCACATATCACAAGGAAGTTTCTGAGAATGCTTCTGTCGAGATTTTATATGAAGATATTCCCGTTTCCAACGAAATCCTGAAATCTATCCAAATATCCCCTCGCAGATTCTACAAAAAGAGTGTTTCAAAACTGCTCTGTAAAAAGAAAGGTCCAACTCTGTTAGTTGAGTACACACATCACAAACAAGTTTCACAGAATGCTTCTTTCTAGCTTGTAGGGGAAGATATTCCCTTTATCACCATGGGCCTCAAACCGTCCGAAACGTCTACTTCCATATACTACAAAAAGAGCGTTTCAAACCTACTCTATGAAAGGCAATGTTCAACTCTGTGACTTGAATGCAGACATCACAGAGCAGTTTCTGAGAATGCTTCTGTCTGGATTTTATAGGAAGATATTCCCGTTTCCAATGAAATCTTCACAGCTATCCAAATATCCACTTGCAGATTCTACAAAAAGAGTGTATCAAAACTGCTCTGTCAAAAGGAAGGTTCTTCTCTGTTAGTTGAGTACATACGTCATAAAGGAGTTTCTGAGAATGTTTCTGTCTAGTGGTTATGGGAAGATATTTGCTTTTTCACCTTAGGCCTCAGAGCGCTCCAAATATCCCCTTGCACATACTACAAAAAGAGTGCTTCAAAGCTGCTCTCTGAAAGGGAATGTTCAACTCTATGAGTTGAATGCAAACATCACAAAGACGTTTCTGAGAATGCCTATCTGTCTAGATTTGATATGAAGATATTCCCGTTTCCAAAGAAATCTTCAAATCTATCCAAATGTCCACTTGCAGATTCAACAAAAAGTGTTTTTCAGAACTGCTCTATCAAAAGAAAGATCCACCTCTGTTAGCTGAGTTAACACATCACAAACAAGTTTATGAGAATGCTTCTGTCTAGTTTTTATTTGAAGGTATTTCCTTTCTCACCCTAGACCTGAAAGCTGTCCTAATGTTCACTTCCAGATACTACAGAAAGAGTGTTTCAAAACTGCTGTACGAAAGGGAATGTTCAACTGCTGTGACTTGAATGCACACATCACAAAGAAGTTTCTGAGGATGCTGCTGTCTAATTTTTATACGTAATCCCGTTTCCAACGAAATCCTCCAAGCTATCCAAATATCCACTTACAGATTCCACAGAAAGACTGTTTCAAAACTGCTCTGTCAATAGAAAGGTTCAACTCTGTTAGCTGCGTGCATATATCCCAAAGAAGATTCTGAGATTGCTTCTGTCTAGTTTTTATGGGAAGATATTTCCCTTTTCACCGTAGGTGTCAAGGCGCTCCAAATGTCGACTTCCAGATACTACAAAAAGAGT
This sequence comes from Homo sapiens, assembly GCF_000001405.40. Lineage (NCBI taxonomy): Eukaryota > Metazoa > Chordata > Mammalia > Primates > Hominidae > Homo > Homo sapiens. The sequence continues at coordinate 14,335,613 of NC_000022.11, read as the reverse complement.
GTTTCAAACCTACTCTGTGAAAGGGAATATTCAACTCTGTGACTTGAATGCACATATCACAAGGAAGTTTCTGAGAATGCTTCTTTCGAGATTTTATATGAAGATATTCCCGTTTCCAACGAAATCCTGAAATCTATCCAAATATCCCCTCGCAGATTCTACAAAAAGAGTGTTTCAAAACTGCTCTGTAAAAAGAAAGGTTCAAATCTATTAGTTGAGTACACACATCACAAACAAGTTTAACAGAATGCTTCTTTCTAGCTTGTAGGGGAAGATTCCCCTTTATCACCATGGTCCTCAAACCGTCCGAAAAGTCCACTTCCATATACTACAAAAAGAGCATTTCAAACCTGCTGTATGAAAGGCAATGTTCAACTCTGTGACTTGAATGCAGACATCACAGAGCAGTTTCTGAGAATGCTTCTGTCTAAATTTTATAGGAAGATATTCCCGTTTCCAACGAAATCTTCACAGCTATCCAAATATCCACTTGCAGATTCTACAAAAAGAGTGTATCAAAACTGCTCTGTCAAAAGGAAGGTTCTTTTCTGTTAGGTGAGTGCATACGTCATAAAGGAGTTTCTGAGAATGCTTCTGTCTAGTGGTTATGGGAAGATATTTGCTTTTTCACCGTAGGCCTCAGAGCGCTCCAAATATCCACTTGCACATACTACAAAAAGAGTGCCTCAAAGCTGCTCTCTGAAACGGAATGTTCAACTCTATGAGTTGAATGCAAACATCGCAAAGACGTTTCGGAGAATGCTTCTGTCTAGATTTGATATGAAGATATTCCCGTTTCCAACGAAATCTTCAAATCTATCCAAATGTCCACTTGCAGATTCAACAAAAAGTGTTTTTCAGAACTGCTCTATCAAAAGAAAGATCCATCTCTGTTAGCTGAGTTCACACATCGCAAACAAGTTTATGAGAATGCTTCTGTCTAGTTTTTATTTGAAGATATTTCCTTTCTCACCATAGAGCTGAAAGCTGTCCTAATGTTCACTTCCAGATACTACAGAAAGAGTGTTTCAAAACTGCTGTACGAAAGGGAATGTTCAACTCTGTGACTTGAATGCACACATCACAAAGAAGTTTCGGAGGATGCTGCTGTCTACTTTTTATGCGTAATCCCGTTTCCAACGAAATCCTCCAAGCTATCCAAATATCCACTTGCAGATTCCACAGAAAGACTGTTTCAAAACTGGTCTGTCAATAGAAAGGTTCAACTCTGTTAGCTGCGTGCATATATCCCAAAGAAGATTCTGAGATTGCTTCTGTCTAGTTTTTATGGGAAGATATTTCCCTTTTCACCGTAGGTGTCAAGGAGCTACAAATGTCCACTTCCAGATACTACAAAAAGAGTGTTTCAAACCTACTCTGTGAAAGGGAATATTCAACTCTGTGACTTGAGTGCACATATCACAAAGAAGTTTCAGAGAATGCTTCTGTCGAGATTTTCTATGAAGATATTCCCGTTTCCAACGAAATCCTGAAATCTATCCAAATATCCCCTCGCAGATTCTACAAAAAGAGTGTTTCAAAACTGCTCTGTAAAAAGAAAGGTTCAACTCTGTTAGTTGAGTACACACATCACAAACAAGTTTCACAGAATGCTTCTTTCTAGCTTGTAGGGAAAGATATTTCCCTTTAACACCATGGGCCTCAAACCGTCCGAAACGTCCACTTCCATATACTACAAAAAGAGCGTTTCAAACCTGCTCTAGGAAAAGCAATGTTCAACTCTGTGACTTGAATGCAGACATCACAGAGCAGTTTCTGAGAATGCTTCTGTCTAGATTTTATAGGAAGATATTCCCGTTTCCAACGAAATCTTCACAGCTATCCTAATATCCACTTGCAGATTCTACAAAAAGAGTGTATCCAAACTACTCTGTCAAAAGGAAGGTTCTTCTCTGTTAGGTGAGTGCATACGTCATAAAGGAGTTTCTGAGAATGTTTCTGTCTAGTGGTTATGGGAAGATATTTGCTTTTTCACCGTAGGCCTCACAGCGCTCCAAATATCCACTTGCACATACTACAAAAAGAGGTGCTTCAAAGCTGCTCTCTGAAAGGGAATGTTCAACTCTATGAGTTGAATGCAAACATCACAAAGACGTTTCTGAGAATGCTTCTGTCTACATTTGATATGAAGATATTCCCGTTTCCAACGAAATCTTCAAATCTATCCAAATGTCCACTTGCAGATTCAACAAAAAGTGTTTTTCAGAACTGCTCTATCAAAAGAAAGATCCACCTCTGTTAGCTGAGTTCACACATCACAAACAAGTTTATGAGAATGCTTCTGTCTTGTTTTTATTTGAAGATATTTCCTTTCTCACCATAGACCTGAAAGCTGTCCTAATGTTCACTTCCAGATACTACAGAAAGAGTGTTTCAAAACTGCTGTACGAAAGGGAATGTTCAACTCTGTGACTTGAATGCACACATCACAAAGAAGTTTCTGAGGATGCTGCTGTCTACTTTTTATACGTAATCCCGTTTCCAACGAAATCCTCCAAGCTATCCAAATATCCACTTGCAGATTCCACAGAAAGACTGTTTCAAAACTGCTCTGTCAATAGAAAGGTTCAACTCTATTAGCTGCGTACATATATCCCAAAGAAGATTCTGAGATTGCTTCTGTCTAGTTTTTATGGGAAGATATTTCCCTTTTCTCCGTAGGCGTCAAGGCGCTCCAAATGTCCACTTCCAGATACTACAAAAAGAGTGTTTCAAACCTACTCTGTGAAAGGGAATATTCAACTCTGTGACTTGAATGCACATATCACAAAGAAGTTTCTGAGAATGCTTCTGTCGAGATTTTATATGAAGATATTCCCGTTTCCAACGAAATCCTGAAATCTATCCAAATAACCCCTCGCAGATTCTACAAAAAGAGTGTTTCAAAACTGCTCTGTAAAAAGAAAGGTTCAACTCTGTAAGATGAGTACACACACCACAAACAAGTTTCACAGAATGCTTCTTTCTAGCTGGTAGGGGAAGATATTCCCTTTATCACCATGGGCCTCAAACCGTCCGAAACGTCCACTTCCATATACTACAAAAAGAGGGTTTCAAACCTGCTCTATGAAAGGCAATGTTCAACTCTGTGACTTGAATGCAGACATCACAGAGCAGTTTCTGAGAATGCTTCTGTCCAGACTTTATAGGAAGATATTCCCGTTTCCAACGAAATCTTCACAGCTATCCAAATATCCACTTGCAGATAGTACAACAAGAGTGTATCAAAAATGCTCTGTCAAAAGGAAAGTTCTTCTCTACTAGTTGAGTACATACGTCATAAAGAAGTTTCTGAGAATGTTTCTGTCTAGTGGTTATGGGAAGATATTTGCTTTTTCACCTTAGGCCTCAGAGCGCTCAAAATATCCCCTTGCACATACTACAAAAAGAGCGCTTCAAAGCTGCTCTCTGAAACGGAATCTTCAACTCTATGGGTTGAATGCAAACATCACAAACACGTTTCTGAGAATGCTTCTGTCTAGATTTGATATGAAGATATTCCCGTTTCCAACGAAATCTTCAAATCTATCCAAATGTCCACTTGCAGATTCAACAAAAAGTGTTTTTCAGAACTGCTCTATCAAAAGAAAGATCCACCTCGGTTAGCTGAGTTCACACATCACAAACAGGTTTATGAGAATGCTTCTATCTAGTTTTTATTTGAAGATATTGCCTTTCTCACCATAGACCTGAAAGCTGTCCTAATGTTCACTTCCAGATACTACAGAAAGAGTGTTTCAAAACTGCTGTACGAAAGGGAATGTTCAACTCTGTGACTTGAATGCACACATCACAAAGTAGTTTCTGAGGATGCTGCTGTCTACTTTTTATACGTAATGACGTTTCCAACGAAATCCTCCAAGCTATCCAAATATCCACTTGCAGATTCCACAGAAAGACTGTTTCAAAACTGCTCTGTCAATAGAAAGGTTCAACTCTGTTAGCTGCGTGCATATATCCCAAAGAAGATTCTGAGATTGCTTCTGTCTAGTTTTTATGGGAAGATATTTCCCTTTTCACCGTAGGTGTCAAGGCGCTCCAAATGTCCACTTCCAGATACTACAAAAAGAGTGTTTCAAACCTACCCTGTGAAAGGGAATATTCAACTCTGTGACTTGAATGCAGATATCACAATGAAGTCTCTGAGAATGCTTCTGTCGAGATTTTATATGAAGATATTCCCGTTTCCAACGAAATCCTGAAATCTATCCAAATATCCCCTCGCAGATTCTACAAAGGGTGTTTCAAAACTGCTCTGTAAAAAGAAAGGTTCAACCCTGTTAGTTGAGTACACACATCACAAACAAGTTTCACAGAATGCTTCTTTCTAGCTTGTAGGGGAAGATATTCCCTTTATCACCATGGGCCTCAAACCGTCCGAAACGTCCACTTCCACATACTACAAAAAGAGCGTATCATACCTGCTCTATGAAAGGCAATGTTGAACTCTGTGACTTGAATGCAGACATCACAGAGCAGTTTCTGAGAATGCTTCTGTCTAGATTTTATAGGAAGATATTCCCGTTTCCAACGAAATCTTCACAGCTATCCAAATATCCACTTGCAGATTCTACCAAAAGAGTGTATGAAAACTGCTCTGTCAAAAGAAAGGTTCTTCTCTGTTAGGTGAGTGCATACGTCATAAACGGAGTTTCTGAGAATGTTTCTGTCTAGTGGTTATGGGAAGATATTTGCTTTTTCACCGTAGGCCTCAGAGCGCTCCAAATATCCACTTGCACATACTACAAAAAGAGTGCCTCAAAGCTGCTCTCTGAAACGGAATGTTCAACTCTATGAGTTGAATGCAAACATCGGAAAGACGTTTCTGAGAATGCTTCTGTCTAGATTTGATATGAAGATATTCCCGTTTCCAACGAAATCTTCAAATCTATCCAAATGTCCACTTGCAGATTCAACAAAAAGTGTTTTTCAGAACTGCTGTATCAAAAGAAAGATCCACCTCTGTTAGCTGAGTTCACACATCACAAACAAGTTTATGAGAATGCTTCTGTCTAGTTTTTATTTGAAGATATTTCCTTTCTCACCATAGACCTGAAAGCTGTCCTAATGTTCACTTCCAGATACTACAGAAAGAGTGTTTCAAAACTGCTGTGGGAAAGGGAATGTTCAACTCTGTGACTTGAATGCACACATCACAAAGAAGTTTCTGAGGATGCTGCTGTCTACTTTTTATACTTAATCCCGTTTCCAACGAAATCCTCCAAGCTATCCAAATATCCACTTGCAGATTCCACAGAAAGACTGTTTCAAAACTACTCTGTCAATAGAAAGGTTCAACTCTGTTAGCTGCGTGCATATATCCCAAAGAAGATTCTGAGATTGCTTCTGTCTAGTTTTTATGGAAGATATTTCCCTTTTCACCGTAGGCGTCAAGGCGCTCCAAATGTCCACTTCCAGATACTACAAAAAGAGTGTTTCAAACCTACTCTGTGAAAGGGAATATTCAACTCTGTGACTTGAATGCAGATATCACAAAGAAGTTTCTGAGAATGCTTCTGTCGAGATTTTATATGAAGATATTCCCGTTTCCAACGAAATGCTGAAATGTATCCAAATATCCCCTCGCAGATTCTACAAAAAGAGTGTTTCAAAACTGCTCTGTAAAAAGAGAGGTTCAACTCTGTTAGTTGAGTACACACATCACAAACAAGTTTCACAGAATGCTTCTTTCTAGCTTGTAGGGGAAGATATTCCCTTTATCACCATGGGCCTCAAACCGTCCGATAAGTCCACTTCCATATACTACAAAAAGAGCGTTTCAAACCTGCTCTATGAAAGGCAATGTTCAACTCTGTGACTTGAATGCAGACATCCCAGAGCAGTTTCTGAGAATGCTTCTGTCTAGATTTTATAGGAAGATATTCCCGTTTCCAACGAAATCTTCACAGGTATCCAAATATCCACTTGCAGATTCTACAAAAAGAGTGTATCAAAACTGCTCTGTCAAAAGGAAGGTTCTTCTCTGTTAGGTGAGTGCATACGTCATAAAGGAGTTTCTGAGAATGTTTCTGTCTAGTGGTTATGGGAAGATATTTGCTTTTTCACCGTAGGCCTCAGAGCGCTCCAAATATCCACTTGCACATACTACAAAAAGAGTGCTTCAAACCTGCTCTCTGAAACGGAATGTTCAACTCTATGAGTTGAATGCAAACATCACAAAGACGTTTTCTGAGAATGCTTCTGTCTAGATTTGATATGAAGATATTCCCGTTTGGAACGAAATCTTCAAATCTATCCAAATGTCCACTTGCAGATTCAACAAAAAGTGTTTTTCAGAACTGCTCTATCAAAAGAAAGATCCACCTCTGTTAGCTGAGTTCACACATCACAAACAAGTTTATGAGAATGCTTCTGTCTAGTTTTTATTTGAAGGTATTTCCTTTCTCACCATCGACCTGAAAGCTGTCCTAATGTTCACTTCCAGATACTACAGAAAGAGTGTTTCAAAACTGCTGTACGAAAGGGAATGTTCAACTCTGTGACTTGAATGCACACATCACAAAGAAGTTTCTGAGGATGGTGCTGTCTACTTTTTATACGTAATCCCGTTTCCAACGAAATCCTCCAAGCTATCCAAATATCCACTTGCAAATTCCACAGAAAGACTGTTTCAAAACTGCTCTGTCAATAGAAAGGTTCAACTCTGTTAGCTGCGTGCATATATCCCAAAGAAGATTCTGAGATTGCTTCTGTCTAGTTTTTATGGGAAGATATTTCCCTTTTCACCGTAGGTGTCAAGGCGCTCCAAATGTCCACTTCCAGATACTACAAAAAGAGTGTTTCAAACCTACTCTGTGAAAGGGAATATTCAACTGCTGTGACTTAAAGGCAGATATCACAAAGAAGTTTCTGAGAATGCTTCTGTCGAGATTTTATATGAAGATATTCCCGTTTCCAACGAAATGCTGAAATGTATCCAAATATCCCCTCGCAGATTCTACAAAAAGAGTGTTTCAAAACTGCTCTGTAAAAAGAAAGGTTCAACTCTGTTAGTTGAGTACACACATCACAAACAAGTTTCACACAATGCTTCTTTTTAGCTTGTAGGGGAAGATATTCCCTTTATCACCATGGGCCTCAAACCGTCCGAAACGTCCACTTCCATATACTACAAAAAGAGCGTTTCAAACCTGCTCTATCAAAGGCAATGTTCAACTCTGTGACTTGAATGCAGACATCACAGAGCAGTTTCTGAGAATGCTTCTGTCTAGATTTTATAGGAAGATATTCCCGTTTCCAACGAAATCTTCACAGCTATCCAAATATCCACATGCAGATTCTACAAAAAGAGTGTATCAAAACTGCTCTGTCAAAAGGAAGGTTCTTCTCTGTTAGGTGAGTGCATACGTCATAAAGGAGTTTCTGAGAATGTTTCTGTCTAGTGGTTATGGGAAGATATTTGCTTTTTCCCCGTAGGCCTCAGGGCGCTCCAAATGTCCACTTGCACATGCTACAAAAAGAGTGCTTCAAAGCTGCTCTCTGAAAGGGAATGTTCAACTCTATGAGTTGAATGCAAACATCACAAAGACGTTTCTGAGAATGCTGTCTGTCTAGATTTGATATGAAGATATTCCCGTTTCCAACGAAATCTTCAAATCTATCCAAATGTCCACTTGCAGATTCAACAAAAAGTGTTTTTCAGAACTGCTCTATCAAAAGAAAGATCCACCTCTGTTAGCTGAGTTCACACATCACAAAAAAGTTTATGAGAATGCTTCTGTCTAGTTTTTATTTGAAGATATTTCCTTTCTCACCGTAGTGCTGAAAGCTGTCCTAATGTTCACTTCCAGATACTACAGAAAGAGTGTTTCAAAACTGCTGTACGAAAGGGAATGTTCAACTCTGTGACTTGAATGCACACATCACAAAGAAGTTTCTGAGAATGCTTCTGTCGAGATTTTATATGAAGATATTCCCGTTTCCAACGAAATCCTGAAATCTATCCAAATATCCCCTTGCAGATTCTACAGAAAGAGTGTTTCAAAACTGCTCTCTAAAAAGAAAGGTTCAACTCTGTTAGTTGAGTACAAACATCACAAACAAGTTTCACAGAATGCTTCTGTCTAGTTTTTATGGGAAGATATTTCCCTTTTCACCATAAGTGTCAAGGCGCTCCAAATGTCCACTTCCTGATACTACAAAAAGAGTGTTTCAAACCTACTCTGTGAAAGGGAATATTCAACTCTGTGACTTGAATACACATATCACAAAGAAGTTTCTGAGAATGCTTCTGTCGAGATTTTATATGAAGATATTCCCGTTTCCAACAAAATCCTGAAATCTATACAAATATCCCCTCGCAGATTCTACAAAAAGAGTGTTTCAAAACTGCTCTGTAAAAAGAAAGGTTCAACTCTGTTAGTTGAGTACACACATCACAAACAAGTTTCACAGAATGCTTCTTTCTAGCTTGTAGGGGAAGATATTCCCTTTATCACCATGGGCCTCAAACCGTCCGAAACGTCCACTTTTATATACTACAAAAAGAGCGTTTCAAACCTGCTCTATGAAAGGCAATGTTCAACTCTGTGACTTGAATGCAGACATCACAGAGCAGTTTCTGAGAATGCTTCTGTCTAGATTTTATAGGAAGATATTCCCGTTTCCAAAGAAATCTTCACAGCTATCCAAATATCCACTTGCAGATTCTACAAAAAGAGTGTATCAAAACTGCTCTGTCAAAAGGAAGGTTCTTCTCTGTTAGATGAGTGCATACGTCATAAAGGAGTTTCTGAGAATGTTTCTGTCTAGTGGTTATGGGAAGATATTTGCTTTTTCACCGTAGGCCTCAGAGCGCTCCAACTATCCACTTGCACATACTACAAAAAGAGTGCCTCAAAGCTGCTCTCTGAAATGGAATGTTCAACTCTATGAGTTGAATGCAAACATCACAAAGAAGTTTCTGAGAATGCTTCTGTCTAGATTTGATATGAAGATATTCCCGTTTCCAACGAAATCTTCAAATCTATCCAAATGTCCAATTGCAGATTCAACAAAAAGTGTTTTTCAGATCTGCTCTATCAAAAGAAAGATCCATCTCTGTTAGCTGAGTTCACACATCACAAACAAGTTTATGAGAATGCTTCTGTCTAATTTTTATTTGAAGATATTTCCTTTCTCACCATAGACCTGAAAGCTGTCCTAATGTTCACTTCCAGATACTATAGAAAGAGTGTTTCAAAACTGCTCTACGAAAGGGAATGTTCAACTCTGTGACTTGAATGCACACATCACAAAGAAGTTTCTGAGGATGCTGCTGTCTACTTTTTATACGTAAACCCGTTTCCAACGAAATCCTCCAAGCTATCCAAATATCCACTTGCAGATTCCACAGAAAGACTGTTACAAAACTGCTCTGTCAATAGAAAGGTTCAACTCTGTTAGCTGCGTGCATATATCCCAAAGAAGATTCTGAGATTGCTTCTGTCTAGTTTTTATGGGAAGATATTTCCCTTTTCACCGTGGGCGTCAAGGCGCTCCAAATGTCCACTTCCAGATACTACAAAAAGAGTGTTTCAAACCTACTCTGTGAAAGGGAATATTCAACTCTGTGACTTGAATGCACATATCACAAAGAAGTTTCTGAGAATGCTTCTGTCGAGATTTTATATGAAGATATTCCCGTTTCCAACGAAATGCTGAAATCTATCCAAATATCCCCTCGCAGATTCTACAAAAAGAGTGTTTCAAAACTGCTCTGTAAAAAGAAAGGTTCAACTCTGTTAGTTGAGTACACACATCACAAACAAGTTTCACACAATGGTTCTTTCTAGCTTGTAGGGGAAGATATTCCCTTTATCACCATGGGCCTCAAACCGTCCGAAACGTCCAACTTCCATATACTAGAAAAAGAGCGTTTCAAACCTGCTCTATGAAAGGCAATGTTCAACTCTGTGACTTGAATGCAGACATCACAGAGCAGTTTCTGAGAATGCTTCTGTCTAGATTTTATATTCCCGTTTCCAACAAAATCTTCACAGCTATCCAAATATCCACTTGCAGATTCTACAAAAAGAGTGTATCAAAACTGCTCTGTCAAAAGGAAGGTTCTTCTCTGTTAGTTGAGTACATACGTCATAAAGGAGTTTCTGAGAATGTTTCTGTCTAGTGGTTATGGGAAGATATTTGATTTTTCACCGTAGGCCTCAGAGCGCTCCAAATATCCACTTGCACATACTACAAAAAGAGTGCTTCAAAGCTGCTCTCTGAAAGGGAATGTTCAACTCTATGAGTTGAATGCAAACATCACAAAGACGTTTCTGAGAATTCTTCTGTCTAGATTTGATATGAAGATATTCCCGTTTCCAAGGAAATCTTCAAATCTATCCAAATGTACACTTGCAGATTCAACAAAAAGTGTTTTTCAGAACTGCTCTATCAAAAGAAAGATCCACCTCTGTTAGCTGAGTTCACACATCACAAACAAGTTTATGAGAATGCTTCTGTCTAGTTTTTATTTGAAGATATATCCTTTCTCACTATAGACCTGAAAGCTCTCCTAAAGTTCACTTCCAGATACTACAGAAAGAGTGTTTCAAAACTGCTGTACGAAAGGAAATGTTCAACTCTGTGACTTGAATGCACACATCACAAGGATGTTTCTGAGGATGCTGCTGTCTACTTTTTATACGTAATCCCGTTTCCAACGAAATCCTCCAGGCTATCCAAATATCCACTTGCAGATTCCACAGAAAGACTGTTTGAAATCTGCTCTGTCAATAGAAAAGTTCAACTCTATTAGCTGCGTGCATATATCCCAAAGAAGATTCTGAGATTGCTTCTGTCTAGTTTTTATGAGAAGATATTTCCCTTTTCACCGTAGGCGTCAAGGCGCTCCAAATGTCCACTTCCAGATACTACAAAAAGAGTGTTTTAAACCTACTCTGTGAAAGGGAATATTCAACTCTGTGACTTGAATGCACATATCACAAAGAAGTTTCTGAGAATGCTTCTGTCGAGATTTTATATGAAGATATTCCCGTTTCCAATGAAATCCTGAAATCTATCCAAATATCCCCTCGCAGATTCTACAAAAAGAGTGTTTCAAAACTGCTCTGTAAAAAGAAAGGTTCAACCCTGTTAGTTGAGTACACACATCACAAACAAGTTTCACAGAATGCTTCTTTCTAGCTTGTAGGGGAAGATATTCCCATTATCACCATGGGCCTCAAACCGTCCGAAACGTCCACTTCCATATACTACAAAAAGAGTGTTTCAAACCTGCTCTATGAAAGGCAATGTTCAACTCTGTGACTTGAATGCAGACATCACAGAGCACTTTCTGAGAATGCTTCTGTCTAGATTTTATAGGAAGATATTCCCGTTTCCAACGAAATCTTCACAGCTATCCAAATATCCACTTGCAGATTCTACAAAAAGAGTGTATCAAAACGGCTCTGTCAAAAGGAAGGTTCTTCTCTGTTAGTTGAGTACATACGTCATAAAGGAGTTTATGAGAATGTTTCTGTTTAGTGGTTATGGGAAGATATTTGCATTTTCACCTTAGGCCTCAGAGCGCTCCAAATATCCCCTTGCACATACTACAAAAAGAGTGCTTCAAAGCTGCTCTCTGAAACGGAATGTTCAACTCTATGAGTTGAATGCAAACATGACAAAGACGTTTCCGAGAATGCTTCTGTCTAGATTTGATATGAAGATATTCCCGTTTCCAACGAAATCTTCAAATCTATCCAAATGTCCACTTGCAGATTCAACAAAAAGTGTTTTTCAGTACTTCTCTATCAAAAGAAAGATCCACCTCTGTTAGCTGAGTTCACACATCACAAAAAGTTTATGAGAATGCTTCTGTCTCGTTTTTATTTAAAGATATTTCCTTTCTCACCATAGAGCTGAAAGCTGTCCTAATGTTCACTTCCAGATACTACAGAAAGAGTGTTTCAAAACTGCTGTACGAAAGGGAATGTTCAACTCTGTGACTTGAATGCACACATCACAAAGAAGTTTCTGAGGATGCTGCTGTCTACTTTTTATACTTAATCCCGTTTCCAACGAAATCCTCCAAGCTATCCAAATATCCACTTCCAGATTCCACAGAAAGACTGTTTCAAAACTGCTCTGTCAATAGAAAGGTTCAACTCTGTTAGCTGCGTGCATATATCCCAAAGAAGATTCTGAGATTGCTTCTGTCTAGTTTTTATGGGAAGATATTTCCCTTTTCACCGTAGGCGTCAAGGCGCTCAAAATGTCCACTTCCAGATACTACAAAAAGAGTGTTTCAAACCTACTCTGTGAAAGGGAGTATTCAACTCTGTGACTTGAATACACATATTCCAAAGAAGTTTCTGAGAATGCTTCTGTCGAGATTTTATATGAAGATATTCCCGTTTCCAACGAAATCCTGAAATCTATCCAAATATCCCCTCGCAGATTCTACAAAAAGAGTGTTTCAAAACTGCTCTGTAAAAAGAAAGGTTCAACTCTGTTAGTTGAGTACACACATCACAAGTTTCACAGAATGCTTCTTTCTAGCTTGTAGGGGAATGATATTCCCCTTATCACCATGGGCCTCAAACCGTCCGAAACGTCCACTTCCATATACTACAAAAAGAGCGTTTCAAACCTGCTCTATGAAAGGCAATGTTCAACTCTGTGACTTGAATGCAGACATCACAGAGCAGTTTCTGAGAATGCTTCTGTCTAGATTTTATAGGAAGATATTCCCGTTTCCAACAAAATCTTCACAGCTATCGAAATATCCACTTGCAGATTCTACAAAAAGAGTGTATCAAAACTGCTCTGTCAAAAGGAAGGTTCTTCTCTGTTAGGTGAGTGCATACGTCATAAAGGAGTTTCTGAGAATGTTTCTGTCTAGTGGTTATGGGAAGATATTTGCTTTTTCACCGTAGGCCTCAGAGCGCTCCAAATATCCACTTGCACATACTACAAAAAGAGTGTTTCAAAGCTGCTCTCTGAAAGGGAATGTTCAACTCTATGAGTTGAATGCAAACATGACAAAGACGTTTCTGAGAATGCTTCTGTCTAGATTTGATATGACGATATTCCCGTTTCCAAAGAAATCTTCAAATCTATCCAAATGTCCACTTGCAGATTCAACAAAACGTGTTTTTCAGAACTGCTCTATCAAAAGAAAGATCCACCTCTGTTAGCTGAGTTCACACATCACAAACAAGTTTATGAGAATGCTTCTGTCTAGTTTTTATTTGAAGATATTTCCTTTCTCACCAGAGACCTGAAAGCTGTCCTAATGTTCACTTCCAGATACTACAGAAAGAGTGTTTCAAAACTGCTGTACGAAAGGGAATGTTCAACTCTGTGACTTGAATGCACACATCACAAAGAAGTTTCTGAGGATGCTGCTGTCTACTTTTTATACGTAATCCCGTTTCCAACGAAATCCTCCAAGCTATCCAAATATCCACTTGCAGATTCCACAGAAAGACTGTATCAAAACTGCTCTGTCAATAGAAAGGTTCAACTCTGTTAGCTGCGTGCATATATCCCAAAGAAGATTCTGAGATTGCTTCTGTCTAGTTTTTATGGGAAGATATTTCCCTTTTCACCGTAGGTGTCAAGGCGCTCCAAATGTCCACTTCCAGATACTACAAAAAGAGTGTTTCAAACCTACTCTGTGAAACGGAATATTCAACTCTGTGACTTGAATGCAGATATCACAAAGAAGTTTCTGAGAATGCTTCTGTCGAGATTTTATATGAAGATATTCCCGGTTCCAACGAAATCCTGAAATCTCTCCAAATATCCCCTCGCAGATTCTACAAAAAGAGTGTTTCAAAACTGCTCTGTAAAAAGAAAGGTTCAACTCTGTTAGTTGAGTACACACATCACAAACAAGTTTCACAGAATGCTTCTTTCTAGCTTGTAGGGGAAGATATTCCCTTTATCACCATGGGCCTCCAACCGTCCGAAACATCCACTTACATATACTACAAAAAGAGCGTTTCAAACCTGCTCTATGAAAGGCAATGTTCAACTCTGTGACTTGAATACAGACATCACAGAGCAGTTTCTGAGAATGCTTCTGTCTAGATTTTATAGGAAGATATTCCCGTTTCCAACGAAATCTTCACAGCTATCCAAATATCCACTTGCAGACTCTACAAAAAGAGTGTATCAAAACTGCTCTGTCAAAAGGAAGGTTCTTCTCTGTTAGGTGAGTGCATACGTCATAAAGGAGTTTCTGAGAATGTTTCTGTCTAGTGGTTATGGGAAGATATTTGCTTTTTCACCGTAGGCCTCAGAGCGCTCCAAATATCCACTTGCACATACTACAAAAAGAGTGCCTCAAAGCTGCTCTCTGAATCGGAATGTTCAACTCTATGAGTTGAATGCAAACATCACAACGACGTTTCTGAGAATGCTTCTGTCTAGATTTGATATGAAGATATTCCCGTTTCCAACGAAATCTTCAAATCTATCCAAATGTCCACTTGCAGATTCAACAAAAAGTGTTTTTCAAAACTGCTGTATCAAAAGAACGATCCACGTCTGTTAGCTGAGTTCAGACATCACAAACAAGTTTATGAGAATGCTTCTGTCTAGTTTTTATTTGAAGATATTTCCTTTCTCACCATAGAGCTGAAAGCTGTCCTAATGTTCACTTCCAGATACTACAGAAAGAGTGTTTCAAAACTGCTGTACGAAAGGGAATGTTCAACTCTGTGACTTGAATGCACACATCACAAAGAATTTTCTGAGGATGCTCTGTCTACTTTTTATACGTAATCCCGTTTCCAACGAAATCCTCCAAGCTATCCAAATATCCACTTGCAGATTCCACAGAAAGACTGTTTCAAAACTGCTCTGTCAATAGAAAGGTTCAACTCTGTTAGCTGCGTGCATATATCCCAAAGAAGATTCTGAGATTGCTTTCTGTCTAGTTTTTATTGGAAGATATTTCCCTTTTCACTGTAGGCGTCAAGGCGCTCCAAATGTCCACTTCCAGATACTACAAAAAGAGTGTTTCAAACCTACTCTGTGAAAGGGAATATTCAACTCTGTGACTTGAATGCAGATATCACAAAGAAGTTTCTGAGAATGCTTCTGTCGAGATTTTATATGAAGATATTCCCGTTTCCAACGAAATCCTGAAATCTATCCAAATATCCCCTCGCAGATTCTACAAAAAGAGTGTTTCAAAAGTGCTCTGTAAAAAGAAAGGTTCAACTCTGTTAGTTGAGTACACACATCACAAACAAGTTTCACAGAATGCTTCTTTCTAGCTTCTAGGGGAAGATATTTCCTTTATCACCATGGGCCTCAAACCGTCCGAAACGTCCACTTCCATATACTAAAAAAAGAGTGCTTGAAACCTGCTCTATGAAAGGCAATGTTCAACTCTGTGACATGAAAGCAAACATCACAGAGCAGTTTCTGAGAATGCTTCTGTCCGGACTTTATAGGAAGATATTCCCGATTCCAACGAAATCTTCACAGCTATCCAAATATCCACTTGCAGATACTACAAAAAGAGTGTATCAAAAATGCTCTGTCAAGAGGACAGTTCTTCTCTGCTAGTTGAGTACATACGTCATAAAGAAGTTTCTGAGAATGTTTCTGTCTAGTGGTTATGGGAAGATATTTGCTTTTTCCCCGTAGGCCTCAGAGCGCTCCAAATGTCCACTTGCACATGCTACAAAAAGAGTGCTTCAAAGCTGCTCTCTGAAAGGGAATGTTCAACTCTATGAGTTGAATGTAAACATCACAAAGACGTTTCTGAGAATGCGTCTGTCTAGATTTGATATGAAGATATTCCCGTTTCCAACGAAATCTTCAAATCTATCCAAATGTCCACTTGCAGATTCAACAAAAAGTGTTTTTCAGAACTGCTCTATCAAAAGAAAGATCCACCTCTGTTAGCGGAGTTCACACATCACAAACAAGTTTATGAGAATGCTTCTGTCTAGTTTTTATTTGAAGATATTTCCTTTCTCACCATAGACCTGAAAGCTGTCCTAATGTTCACTTCCAGATACTACAGAAAGAGTGTTTCAAAACTGCTGTACGAAAGGGAAGTTCAACTCTGTGACTTGAATGCACACATCACAAAGAAGTTTCTGAGGATGCTGCTGTCTAATTTTTATACGTAATCCCGTTTCCAACGAAATCCTCCAATCTATCCACATATCCACTTGCAGATTCCACAGAAAGACTGTTTCAAAACTGCTCTGTCAATAGAAAGGTTCAACTCTGTTAGCTGCGTGCATATATCCCAAAGAAGATTCTGAGATTGCTTCTGTCTACTTTTTATGAGAAGATATTTCCCTTTTCACCGTACGCGTCAAGGCGCTCCAAATGTCCTCTTCCAGATACTACAAAAAGAGTGTTTCAAACCTACTCTGTGAAAGGGAACATTCAACTCTGTGACTTGAATGCACATATCACAAAGAAGTTTCTGAGAATGCTTCTGTCGAGATTTTATATGAAGATATTCCCGTTTCCAACTAAATGCTGAAATGTATCCAAATATCCCCTCGCAGATTCTACAAAAAGAGTGTTTCAAAACTGCTCTGTAAAAAGAAAGGTTCAACTCTGTTAGTTGAGTACACACATCACAAACAAGTTTCACAGAATGCTTCTTTCTAGCTTGTAGGGGAAGATATTCCCTTTATCACCATGGGCCTCAAACCGTCCGATAAGTCCACTTCCATATACTACAAAAAGAGCGTTTCAAACCTGCTCTATGAAAGGCAATGTTCAACTCTGTGACTTGAATGCAGACATCGCAGAGCAGTGTCTGAGAATGCTTCTGTCTAGATTTTATAGGAAGATATTCCCGTTTCCAACGAAATCTTCGCAGCTATCCAAATATCCACTTGCAGATTCTACAAAAAGAGTGTATCAAAACTGCTCTGTCAAAAGGAAGGTTCTTCTCTGTTAGGTGAGTGCATACGTCATAAAGGAGTTTCTGAGAATGTTTCTGTCTAGTGGTTATGGGAAGATATTTGCTTTTTCACCGTAGGCCTCAGAGCGCTCCAAATATCCACTTGCACATACTACAAAAAGAGTGCCTCACAGCTGCTCTCTGAAACGGAATGTTCAACTCTATGAGTTGAATGCAAACATCACAAAGACGTTTCTGAGAATGCTTCTGTCTAGATTTGATATGAAGATATTCCCGTTTCCAACGAAATCTTCATATCTATCCAAATGTCCACTTGCAGATTCAACAAAAAGTGTTTTTCAAAACTGCTGTATCAAAAGAAAGATCCACCTCTGTTAGCTGAGTTCACACATCACAAACAAGTTTATGAGAATGCTTCTGTCTAGTTTTTATTTGAAGATATTTCCTTTCTCATCATAGACCTGAAAGCTGTCCTATTGTTCACTTCAGATACTACAGAAAGAGTGTTTCAAAACTGTTGTACGAAAGGGAATGTTCAACCCTGTGACTTGAATGCACACATCACAAAGAAGTTTCTGAGGATGCTGCTGTCTACTTTTTATACGAAATCCCGTTTCCAACGAAATCCTCCAAGCTATCCAAATATCCAATTGCAGATTCCACAGAAAGACTGTTTCAAAACTGCTCTGTCAATAGAAAGGTTCAACTCTGTTAGCTGCGTGCATATATCCCAAAGGAGATTCTGAGATTGCTTGTGTCTACTTTTTATGAGAAGATATTTCCCTTTTCACCGTAGGCGTCAAGGCGCTCCAAATGTCCACTTCCAGATACTACAAAAAGAATGTTTCAAACCTACTCTGTGAAAGGGAATATTCAAGTCTGTGACTTGAATGCACATATCACAAAGAAGCTTCTGAGAATGCTTCTGTCGAGATTTTATATGAAGATATTCCCGTTTCCAACGAAATCCTGAAATGTATCCAAATATCCCCTTGCAGATTCTACAAAAGAGTGTTTCAAAACTGCTCTGTAAAAAGAAAGGTTCAACTCTGTTAGTTGAGTACACACATCACAAACAAGTTTCACACAATGCTTCTTTCTAGCTTGTAGGGGAAGATATTTCCTTTATCACCATGGGCCTCAAACCGTCCGAAACGTCCACTTCCATATACTACAAAAAGAGCGTTTCAAACCTGCTCTATGAAAGGCAATGTTCAACTGTGTGACTTGAATGCAGACATCACAGAGCAGTTTCTGAGAATGCTTCTGTCTAGATTTTATAGGAAGATATTCCCTTTTCCAACGAAATCTTCACAGCTATCCAAATATCCACTTGCAGATTCTACAAAAAGAGTGTATCAAAACTGCTCTGTCAAAAGGAAGGTTCTTCTCTGTTAGTTGAGTACATACGTCATAAAGGAGTTTCTGAGAATGTTTCTGTCTAGTGGTTATGGGAAGATATTTGCTTTTTCACCGTAGACCTCAGAGCGCTCCAAATATCCACTTGCACATACTACAAAAAGAGTGCTTCAAAGCTGCTCTCTAAAAGGGAATGTTCAACTCTATGAGTTGAATGCAAACATCACAAAGACGTTTCTGAGAATGCTTCTGTCTAGATTTGATATGAAGTTATTCCCGTTTCCAACGAAATCTTCAAATCTATCCAAATGTCCACTTGCAGATTCAACAAAACGTGTTTTTCAGACCTGCTCTATCAAAAGAAAGATCCACGTCTCTTAGCTGAGTTCACACATCACAAACAAGTTTATGAGAATGCTTCTGTCTAGTTTTTATTTGAAGATATTTCCTTTCTCACCATAGACCTGAAAGCTGTCCTAATGTTCACTTCCAGATACTACAGAAAGAGTGTTTCAAAACTGCTGTACGAAAGGGAATGTTCAACTCTGTGACTTGAATGCACACATCACAAAGAAGTTTCTGAGGATGGCTGTCTACTTTTTATACGTAATACCGTTTCCAACGAAATCCTCCAAGCTATCCAAATATCCACTTGCAGATTCCACAGAAAGACTGTTTCAAAACTGCTCTGTCAAAAGAAAGGTTCAACTCTGTTAGCTGCGTGCATATATCCCAAAGAAGATTCTGAGATTGCTTCTGTCTAGTTTTTATGGGAAGATATTTCCCTTTTCACCGTAGGCGTCAAGGCGCTCCAAATGTCCACTTCCAGATACTACAAAAAGAGTGTTTCAAACCTACTCTGTGAAAGGGAATATTCAACTCTGTGACTTGAATGCACATATCACAAAGATGTTTCTGAGAATGCTTCTGTCGAGATTTTATATGAAGATATTCCCGTTTCCAACGAAATCCTGAAATCTCTCCAAATATCCCCTCGCAGATTCTACAAAAAGAGTGTTTCAAAACTGCTCTGTAAAAAGAAAGGTTCAACTCTGTTAGTTGAGTACACACATCACAAACAAGTTTCACAGAATGATTCTTTCTAGCTTGTAGGGGAAGATATTCCCTTTATCACCATGGGCCTCAAACCGTCCGAAACGTCCACTTCCATATACTAAAAAAAGAGTGTTTCAAACCTGCTCTATGAAAGGCAATGTTCAACTCTGTGACTTGAATGAAGACATCACAGAGCAATTTCTGAGAATGCTTCTGTCTAGATTTTATAGGAAGATATTCCCGTTTCCAACGAAATCTTCACAGCTATCCTAATATCCACTTGCAGATTCTACAAAAAGAGTGTATCAAAACTGCTCTGTCAAAAGGAAGGTTCTTCTCTGTTAGGTGAGTGCATACGTCATAAAGGAGTTTCTGAGAATGTTTCAGTCTAGTGGTTATGGGAAGATATTTGCTTTTTCCCCGTAGGCCTCAGAGCGCTCCAAATATCCACTTGCACATACTACAAAAAGAGTGCTTCAAAGCTGCTCTCTGAAACGGAATGTTCAACTCTATGAGTTGAATGCAAACACCACAAAGACGTTTCTGAGAATGCTTCTGTCTAGATTTGATATGAAGATATTCCCGTTTCCAAAGAAATCTTCAAATCTATGCAAATGTCCACTTGCAGATTCAACAAAAAGTGTTTTTCAGAACTGCTCTATCAAAAGAAAGATCCACGGCTCTTAGCTGAGTTCACACATCACGAACAAGTTTATGAGTATGCTTCTGTCTAGTTTTTATTTGAAGATATATCCTTTCTCACTATAGACCTGAAAGCTGTCCTAAAGTTCACTTACAGATACTACAGAAAGAGTGTTTCAAAACTGCTGTACGAAAGGGAATGTTCAACTCTGTGACTTGAATGCACACATCACAAGGATGTTTCTGAGGATGCTGCTGTCTACTTTTTATACGTAATCCCGTTTCCAACGAAATCCTCCAAGTTATCCAAATATCCACTTGCAGATTCCACAGAAAGACTGTTTCAAAACTGCTCTGTCAATAGAAAGGTTCAACTCTGTTAGCTGCGTGCATATATCCCAAAGAAGATTCTGAGATTTCTTCTGTCTAGTTTTTATCGGAAGATATTTCCCTTTTCACCGTAGGCGTCAAGGCGCTCCAAATGTCCAATTCCAGATACTATAAAAAGAGTGTTTCAAACCTACTCTGTGAAAGGGAATATTCAACTCTGTGACTGGAATGCAGATATCACAAAGAAGTTTCTGAGAATGCTTCTGTCGAGATTTTATATGAAGATATTCCCGTTTCCAACGAAATCCCTGAAATCTATCCAAATATCCCCTTGCAGATTCTACAAAAAGAGTGTTTCAAAACTGCTCTGTAAAAAGAAAGGTTCAACTCTGTTAGTTGAGTACACACATCACAAACAAGTTTCACACAATGCTTCTTTCTAGCTTGTAGGGGAAGATTTTCCCTTTATCACCATGGGCCTCCAACCGTCCGAAACATCCACTTCCATATTCTACAAAAAGAGCGTTTCAAACCTGCTCTAGGAAAGGCAATGTTCAACTCTGTGACTTGAATGCAGACATCACAGAGCAGTTTCTGAGAATGCTTCTGTCTAGATTTTATAGGAAGGTATTCCCGTTTCCAACGAAATCTTCACAGCTATCCAAATATCCACTTGCAGATTCTACAAAAAGAGTGTATCAAAACTGCTCTGTCAAAAGGAAGGTTCTTCTCTGTTAGGTGAGTGCATACGTCATAAAGGAGTTTCTGAGAATGTTTCTGTCTAGTGGTTATGGGAAGATATTTGCTTTTTCACCGCAGGCCTCAGAGCGCTCCAAATATCCACTTGCACATACTACAAAAAGAGTGCCTCAAAGCTGCTCTCTGAAACGGAATGTTCAACTCTATGAGTTGAATGCAAACATCACAAAGACGTTTCTGAGAATGCTTCTGTCTAGATTTGATATGAAGATATTCCCGTTTCCAACGAAATCTTCAAATCTATCCAAATGTCCACTTGCAGATTAAACAAAAGTGTTTTTCAGAACTGCTCTATCAAAAGAAAGATCCACCTCTGTTAGCTGAGTTCACACATCACAAACAAGTTTATGAGAATGCTTCTGTCTAGTTTTTATTTGAAGATATTTCCTTTCTCAACATAGACCTGAAAGCTCTCCTAATGTTCACTTCCAGATACTACAGAAAGAGCGTTTCAAAACTGCTGTACGAAAGGGAATGTTCAACTCTGTGACTTGAATGCACACATCACAAAGAAGTTTCTGAGGATGCTGCTGTCTACTTTTTATACTTAATCCCGTTTCCAACGAAATCCTCCAAGCTATCCAAATATCCACTTGCAGATTCCACAGAAAGACTGTTTCAAAACTGCTCTGTCAATAGAAAGGTTCAACTCTGTTAGCTGTGTGCATATATCCCAAAGAAGATTCTGAGATTGCTTCTGTCTAGTTTTTATGGGAAGATATTTCCCTTTTGACCGTAGGTGTCAAGGCGCTCCAAATGTCCACTTCCAGATACTACAAAAAGAGTGTTTCAAACCTACTCTGTGAAAGGGAATATTCAACTCTGTGACTTGAATGCACATATCACAAAGAAGTTTCTGAGAATGCTTCTGTCGAGATTTTATATGAAGATATTCCCGTTTCCAACGAAATCCTGAAATCTATCCTAATATCCCCTCGCAGATTCTACAAAAAGAGTGTTTCAAAACTGCTCTGTAAAAAGAAATGTTCAACTCTGTTAGTTGAGTACACACATCACAAACAAGTTTCACAGAATGCTTCTTTCTAGCTTGTAGGGGAAGATATTCCGTTTATCACCATGGGCCTCCAACCGTCCGAAACATCCACTTCCATATACTACAAAAAGAGCGTTTCAAACCTGCTCTATGAAAGGCAATGTTCAACTCTGTGACTTGAATACAGACATCACAGAGCAGTTTCTGAGAATGCTTCTGTCTAGATTTTAAAGGAAGATATTCCCGTTTCCAACGAAATCTTCACAGCTATCCAAATATCCACTTGTAGATTCTACAAAAAGAGTGTATCAAAACTGCTCTGTCAAAAGGAAGGTTCTTTTCTGTTAGGTGAGTGCATACGTCATAAAGGAGTTTCTGAGAATGTTTCTGTCTAGTGGTTATGGGAAGATATTTGCTTTTTCACCGTAGGCCTCAGAGCGCTCCAAATATCCACTTGCACATACTACAAAAAGAGTGCTTCAAAGCTGCTCTCTGAAAGGGAATGTTCAACTCTATGAGTTGAATGCAAACATCACAAAGACGTTTCTGAGAATACTTCTGTCTAGATTTGATATGAAGATATTCCCGTTTCCAACGAAATCTTCAAATCTATCCAAATGTCCACTTGCAGATTCAACAAAGTGTTTTTCAGAACTGCTCTATCAAAAGAAAGATCCACCTCTGTTAGCTGAGATCACACTTCACAAACAAGTTTATCAGAATGCTTCTGTCTAGTTTTTATTTGAAGATATTTCCTTTCTCACCATAGAGCTGAAAGCTGTCCTAATGTTCACTTCCAGATAGTACAGAAAGAGTGTTTCAAAACTGCTGTACGAAAGGGAATGTTCAACTCTGTGACTTGAATGCACACATCACAAAGAAGTTTCTGAGGATGCTGCTGTCTACTTTTTATACGTAATCCCGTTTCCAACGAAATCCTCCAAGCTATCCAAATATCCACTTGCAGATTCCACAGAAAGACTGTTTCAAAACTGCTCTGTCAATAGAAAGGTTCAACTTTGTTAGCTGCGTGCATATATCCCAAAGAAGATTCTGAGATTGCTTCTGTCTAGTTTTTATGGGAAGATATTTCCCTTTTCACCGTAGGCGTCAAGGCGCTCCAAATGTCCACTTCCAGATACTACAAAAAGAGTGTTTCAAACCTACTCTGTGAAAGGGAATATTCAACTCTGTGACTTGAAGGCAGATATCACAAAGAAGTTTCTGAGAATGCTTCTGTCGAGATTTTATATGAAGGTATTCCCGTTTCCAACGAAATCCTGAAATGTATCCAAATATCCCCTCGCAGATTCTACAAAAAGAGTGTTTCAAAACTGCTCTGTAAAAAGAAAGGTTCAACTCTGTTAGTTGAGTACACACATCACAAACAAGTTTCACACAATGCTTCTTTCTAGCTTGTAGGGGAAGATATTCCCTTTATCACCATGGGCCTCCAACCGTCCGAAACATCCACTTCCATATACTACAAAAAGAGCGTTTCAAACCTGCTCTATGAAAGGCAATGTTCAACTCTGTGACTTGAATGCAG
The DNA here is from genome assembly GCF_000001405.40 of Homo sapiens. Taxonomy (NCBI): domain Eukaryota; kingdom Metazoa; phylum Chordata; class Mammalia; order Primates; family Hominidae; genus Homo; species Homo sapiens. The sequence continues at coordinate 14,312,042 of NC_000022.11, read as the reverse complement.
ACATCAAAGAGCAGTTTCTGAGAATGCTTCTGTCTAGATTTTATAGGAAGATATTCCCGTTTCCAAAGAAATCTTCACAGCTATCCAAATATCCACTTGCATATTCTACAAAAAGAGTGTATCAAAACTGCTCTGTCAAAAGGAAGGTTCTTCTCTGTTAGGTGAGTGCATACGTCATACAGGAGTTTCTGAGAATGTTTCTGTCTAGTGGTTATGGGAAGATATTTGCTTTTTCACCGTAGGCCTCAGAGCGCTCCAAATATCCCCTTGCACATACTACAAAAAGAGTGCTTCAAAGCTGCTCTCTGAAAGGGAATGTTCAACTCTATGAGTTGAATGCAAACATCAGAAAGACGTTTCTGAGAATGCTTCTGTCTAGATTTGATATGAAGATATTCCCGTTTCCAACGAAATCTTCAAATCTATCCAAATGTCCACTTGCAGATTCAACAAAAAGTGTTTTTCAAAACTGCTGTATCAAAGGAAAGATCCACGTCTGTTAGCTGAGTTCACACATCACAAACAAGTTTATGAGAATGCTTCTGTCTAGTTTTTATTTGAAGATATATCCTTTCTCACCATAGACCTGGAAGCTCTCCTAATGTTCACTTCCAGATACTACAGAAAGAGTGTTTCAAAACTGCTGTACGAAAGGGAATGTTCAACTCTGTGACTTGAATGCACACATCACAAAGAATTTTCTGAGAATGCTGCTGTCTACTTTTTATACGTAATCCTGTTTCCAACGAAATCCTCCAAGCTATCCAAATATCCACTTGCAGATTCCAGAGAAAGACTGTTTCAAAACTGCTCTGTCAATAGAAAGGTTCAACTCTGTTAGCTGCGTGCATATATCCCAAAGAAGATTCTGAGATTGCTTCTGTCTAGTTTTTATGGGAAGATATTTCCTTTTTCACTGTAGGCGTCAATGCGCTCCAAATGTCCACTTCCAGATACTACAAAAAGAGTGTTTCAAACCTACTCTGTGAAAGGGAATATTCAACTCTGTGACTTGAATGCAGATATCCCAAAGAAGTTTCTGAGAATGCTTCTGTCGAGATTTTATATGAAGATATTCCCGTTTCCAACGAAATGCTGAAATGTATCCAAATATCCCCTCGCAGATTCTACAAAAAGAGTGTTTCAAAACTGCTCTGTAAAAAGAAAGGTTCAACTATTGTTAGTTGAGTACACACATCACAAACAAGTTTCACAGAATGCTTCTTTCTAGCTTGTAGGGGAAGATATTCCCTTTATCACCATGGGCCTCAAACCGTCCGAAACGTCCACTTCCATATACTACAAAAAGAGCGTTTCAAACCTGCTCTATGAAAGGCAATGTTCAACTCCGTGACTTGAATGCAGACATCACAGAGCAGTTTCTGAGAATGCTTCTGTCTAGATTTTATAGGAAGATATTCCCGTTTCCAGCGAAATCTTCACAGATATCCAAATATCCACTTGCAGATTCTACAAAAAGAGTGTATCAAAACTGCTCTGTCAAAAGGAAAGTTCTTCTCTGCTAGTTGAGTACATACGTCATAAAGAAGTTTCTGAGAATGTTTCTGTCTAGTGGTTATGGGAAGATATTTGCTTTTTCACCGAAGGCCTCAGAGCGCTCCAAATATCCACTTGCACATACTACAAAATGAGTGCCTCAAAGCTGCTCTCTGAAACGGAATGTTCAACTCTATGAGTTGAATGCAAACATCACAAAGACGTTTCCGAGAATGCTTCTGTCTAGATTTGATATGAAGATATTCCCGTTTCCAACGAAATCTTCAAATCTATCCAAATGTCCACTTGCAGATTCAACAAAAAGTGTTTTTCAGAACTGCTCTATCAAAAGAAAGATCCATCTCGGTTAGCTGAGTTCACACATCACAAACAAGTTTATGAGAATGCTTCTGTCTAGTTTTTATTTGAAGATATTTCCCTTCTCACCATAGACCTGCAAGCTGTCCTAATGTTCACTTCCAGATACTACAGAAAGAGTGTTTCAAAACTGCTGTACGAAAGGGAATGTTCAACTCTGTGACTTGAATGCACACATCACAAAGTAGTTTCTGACGATGCTGCTGTCTACTTTTTATACGTAATCCCGTTTCCAACGAAATCCTCCAAGCTATCCAAATATCCACTTGCAGATTCCACAGAAAGACTGTTTCAAAACTGCTCTGTCAATAGAAAGGTTCAACTCTGTTAGCTGCGTGCATATATCCCAAAGAAGATTGTGAGATTGCTTCTGTCTAGTTTTTATGGGAAGATATTTCCCTTTTCACCTTAGGCGTCAAGGCGCTCCAAATGTCCACTTCCAGATACTACAAAAAGAGTGTTTCAAACCTACTCTGTGAAAGGGAATATTCAACTCTGTGACTTGAAGGCAGATATCACAAAGAAGTTTCTGAGAATGCTTCTGTCGAGATTTTATATGTAGATATTCCCGTTTCCAACGAAATCCTGAAATCTATCCAAATATGCCCTCGCAGATTCTACAAAAAGAGTGTTTCAAAACTGCTCTGTAAAAAGAAAGGTTCAACTCTGTTAGTTGAGTACACACATCACAAACAAGTTTCACAGAATGCTTCTTTCTAGCTTGTAGGGGAAGATATTTCCTTTATCACCATGGGCCTCAAACCGTCCAAAACGTCCACTTCCATATACTAAAAAAACAGTGTTTGAAACCTGCTCTATGAAAGGCAATGTTCAACTCTGTGACTTGAATGCAGACATCACAGAGCAGTTTCTGAGAATGCTTCTGTCCAGACTTTATAGGAAGATATTCCCGTTTCCAACGAAATCTTCACAGCTATACAAATATCCACTTGCAGATAGTACAAAAAGAGTGTATCAAAAATGCTCTGTCAAAAGGAAAGTTCTTCTCTGCTAGTTGAGTACATACGTCATAAAGAAGTTTCTGAGAATGTTTCTGTCTAGTGGTTATGGGAAGATATTTGCTTTTTCACCTTAGGCCTCAGAGCGCTCCAAATATCCCCTTGCACATACTACAAAAAGAGCGCTTCAAAGCTGCTCTCTGAAACGGAATGTTCAACTCTATGGGTTGAATGCAAACATCACAAAGACGTTTCTGAGAATGCTTCTGTCTAGATTTGATATGAAGATATTCCCGTTCCCACGAAATCTTCAAATCTATCCAAATGTCCACTTGCAGATTCAACAAAACGTGTTTTTCAGAACTGCTCTATCAAAAGAAAGATCCACGTCTCTTAGCTGAGTTCACACATCACAAACAAGTTTATGAGAATGCTTCTGTATAGTTTTTATTTGAAGATATTTCCTTTCTCACCATAGACCTGAAAGCTGTCCTAATGTTCACTTCCAGATACTACAGAAAGAGTGTTTCAAAACTGCTGTACGAAAGGGAATGTTCAACTCTGTGACTTGAATGCACACATCACAAAGAAGTTTCTGAGGATGCTGCTGTCTACTTTTTATGCGTAATCCCGTTTCCAACGAAATCCTCCAAGCTATCCAAATATCCACTTGCAGATTCCACAGAAAGACTGTTTCAAAACTGCTCTGTCAATAGAAAGGTTCAACTCTGTTAGCTGCGTGCATATATCCCAAAGAAGATTCTGAGATTGCTTCTGTCTAGTTTTTATGGGAAGATATTTCCCTTTTCACCGTAGGCGTCAAGGCGCTCCAAATGTCCACTTCCAGATATTACAAAAAGAGTGTTTCAAACCTACTCTGTGAAAGGGAATATTCAACTCTGTGACTTGAATGCAGATATCACAAAGAAGTTTCTGAGAATGCTTCTGTCGAGATTTTATATGAAGATATTCCCGTTTCCAACGAAATCCTGAAATCTATCCAAATATCCCCTCGCAGATTCTACAAAAAGAGTGTTTCAAAACTGCTCTGTAAAAAGAAAGGTTCAACTCTGTTAGTTGAGTACACACATCACAAAGAAGTTTCACAGAATGCTTCTTTCTATCTTGTAGGGGAAGATATTCCCTTTATCACTATGGGCCTCAAACCGTCCGAAACGTCTACTTCCATATACTACAAAAAGAGCGTTTCAAACGTGCTCTATGAAAGGCAATGTTCAACTCTGTGACTTGAATGCAGACATCACAGAGCAGTTTCTGAGAATGCTTCTGTCTAGATTTTATAGGAAGATATTCCCGTTTCCAACGAAATCTTCACAGCTATCCAAATATCCACTTGCAGATTCTACAAAAAGAGTGTATCAAAACTGCTCTGTCAAAAGGAAGGTTCTTCTCTTTTAGGTGAGTGCATAGGTCATAAAGGAGTTTCTGAGAATGTTTCCGTCTAGTGGTTATGGGATGATATTTGCTTTTTCACCGTAGGCCTCAGAGCGCTCCAAATATCCACTTGCACATACTACAAAAAGAGTGCTTCAAAGCTGCTCTCTGAAAGGGAATGTTCAACTCTATGAGTTGAATGCAAACATCACAAAGACGTTTCTGAGAATGCTTCTGTCTAGATTTGATATGAAGATATTCCCGTTTCCAACGAAATCTTCAAATCTATCCAAATGTCCACTTGCAGATTCAACAAAAAGTGTTTTTCAGAACTGCTCTATCAAAAGAAAGATCCACCTCTGTTAGCTGAGTTCAGACATCACAAACAAGTTTATGAGAATGCTTCTGTCTAGTTTTTATTTGAAGATATTTCCTTTCTCACCATAGACCTGAAAGCTTTCCTAATGTTCACTTCCAGTTACTACAGAAAGAGTATTTCAAAACTGCTGTACGAAAGGGATTGTTCAACTCTGTGACTTGAATGCACACATCACAAAGAAGTTTCTGAGGATGCTGCTGTCTACTTTTTATACGTAATCCCGTTTCCAACGAAATCCTCCAAGCTATCCAAATATCCACTTGCAGATTCCACAGAAAGACTGTTTCAAAACTGCTCTGTCAATAGAAAGGTTCAACTCTGTTAGCTGCGTGCATATATCCCAAAGAAGATTCTGAGATTGTTTCTGTCTAGTTTTTATGGGAAGATATTTCCCTTTTCACCGTAGGTGTCAAGGCGCTCCAAATGTCCACTTCCAGATACTACAAAAAGAGTGTTTCAAACCAACTCTGTGAAAGGGAATATTCAACTCTGTGACTTGAATGCACATATCACAAAGAAGTTTCTGAGAATGCTTCTGTCGAGATTTTATATGAAGATATTCCCCTTTCCAACGAAATCCTGAAATCTATCCAAATATCCCCTCGCAGATTCTACAAAAAGAGTGTTTCAAAACTGCTCTGTAAAAAGAAAGGTTCAACTCTGTTAGTTTGAGTACACACATCACAAACAAGTTTCACAGAATGCTTCTTTCTAGCTTGTAGGGGAAGATATTCCCTTTATCACCATGGGCCTCAAACCGTCCGAAACGTCCACTTCCATGTACTACAAAAAGAGCGTTTCAAACCTGTTCTAGGAAAGGCAATGTTCAACTCTGTGACTTGAATGCAGACATCACAGAGCAGTTTCTGAGAATGCTTCCATCTAGATTTTATAGGAAGATATTCCCGTTTCCAACGAAATCTTCACAGCTATCCAAATATCCACTTGCAGATTCTGCAAAAAGAGTGTATCAAAACTGCTCCGTCAAAAGGAAGGTTCTTCTCTGTTAGGTGAGTGCATACGTCATAAAGGAGTTTCTGAGAATGTTTCTGTCTAGTGGTTATGGGAAGATATTGGCTTTTTCACCGTAGGCCTCAGAGCGCTCCAAATATCCACTTGCACATACTACAAAAAGAGTGCCTCAAAGCTGCTCTCTGAAACGGAATGTTCAACTCTATGAGTTGAATGCAAACATCACAAAGACGTTTCTGAGAATGCTTCTGTCTAGATTTGATATGAAGATATTCCCGTTTCCAACGAAATCTTCATATCTATCCAAATGTCCACTTGCAGATTCAACAAAAAGTGTTTTTCAAAACTGCTGTATCAAAAGAAAGATCCACGTCTGTTAGCTGATGCTCTATCAAAAGAAAGATTCACCTCTGTTAGCTGAGTTCACACATCACAAACAAGTTTATGAAAATGCTTCTGTCTAGTTTTTATTTGAAGATATTTCCTTTCTCACCATAGACCTGAAAGCTGTCCTAATGTTCACTTCCAGATACTACAGAAAGAGTGTTTCAAAACTGCTGTATGAAAGGGAATGTTCAAATCTGTGACTTGAATGCACACATCACAAAGAAATTTCTGAGGATGCTGCTATCTACTTTTTATACGTAATCCCGTTTCCAACGAAATCCTCCAAGCTATCCAAATATCCACTTGCAGATTCCACAGAAAGACTGTTTCAAAACTGCTCTGTCAATAGAAAGGTTCAACTCTGTTAGCTGCGTGCATATATCCCAAAGAAGATTCTGAGATTGCTTCTGTCTAGTTTTTATGGGAAGATATTTCCCTTTTCACCGTAGGTGTCAAGGCGCTCCAAATGTCCACTTCCAGATACTACAAAAAGAGTGCTTCAAACCTACTCTGTGAAAGGGAATATTCAACTCTGTGACTTAAAGGCAGATATCACAAAGAAGTTTCTGAGAATGCTTCTGTCGAGATTTTATATGAAGATACTCCCGTTTCCAACGAAATCCTGAAATCTATCCAAATATCCCTTCGCAGATTCTACAAAAAGAGTGTTTCAAAATTGCTCTGTAAAAAGAAAGGTTCAACTCTGTTAGTTGAGTACACACATCACAAACAAGTTTCACAGAATGCTTTCTTTCTAGCTTGTAGGGGAAGATATTCCCTTTATCACCATGGGCCTCCAACCGTCCGAAACATCCACTTCCATATACTACAACAAGAGCGTTTCAAACCTGCTCTATGAAAGGCAATGTTCAACTCTGTGACTTGAATACAGACATCACAGAGCAGTTTCTGAGAATGCTTCTGTCTAGATTTTATAGGAAGATATTCCCGTTTCCAACGAAATCTTCACAGCTATCCAAATATCCACTTGCAGATTCTACAAAAAGAGTGTATCAAAACTGTTCTGTCAAAAGGAAGGTTCTTCTCTGTTAGGTGAGTGCATACGTCATAAAGGAGTTTCTGAGAATGTTTCTGTCTAGTGGTTATGGGAAGATATTTGCTTTTTCACCGTAGGCCTCAGAGCGCTCCAAATATCCACTTGCACATACTACAAAAAGAGTGCCTCAAAGCTGCTCTATGAAACGGAATGTTCAACTCTATGAGTTGAATGCAAACATCACAAAGACGTTTCTGAGAATGCTTCTGTCTAGATTTGATATGAAGATATTCCCGTTTCCAACGAAATCTTCAAATCTATCCAAATGTCCACTTGCAGATTCAACAAAAAGTGTTTTTCAGAACTGCTCTATCAAGAGAAAGATCCACCTCTGTTAGCTGAGTTCACACATCACAAACAAGTTTATGAGAATGCTTCTGTCTAGTTTTTATTTGAAGATATTTCCTTTCTCACCATAGAGCTGAAAGCTGTCCTAATGTTCACTTCCAGATACTACAGAAAGAGTGTTTCAAAACTGCTGTACGAAAGGGAATGTTCAACTCTGTCACTTGAATGCACACATCACAAAGAAGTTTCTGAGGATGCTGCTGTGTACTTTTGATACGTAATCCCGTTTCCAACGAAATCCTCCAAGCTATCGAAATATCCACTTGCAGATTCCACAGAACGACTGTTTCAAAACTGCTCTGTCAATAGAAATGTTCAACTCTGTTAGCTGCGTGCATATATCCCAAAGAAGATTCTGAGATTGCTTCTGTCTAGTTTTTATGGGAAGATATTTCCCTTTTCACCGTAGGCGTCAAGGCGCTCCAAATGTCCACATCCAGATACTACAAAAAGAGTGTTTCAAACCTACACTGTGAAAGGGAATATTCAACTCTGTGACTTGAATGCACATATCACAAAGAAGTTTCTGAGAATGCTTCTGTAGAGATTTTATATGAAGATATTCCCGTTTCCAACGAAATCCTGAAATCTATCCAAATATCCCCTCGCAGATTCTACAAAAAGAGTGTTTCAAAACTGCTCTGTGAAAAGAAAGGTTCAACTCTGTTAGTTGAGTACACACATCACAAACAAGTTTCACAGAATGCTTCTTTCTAGCTTGTAGGGGAAGTTATTCCCTTTATCACCATGGGCCTCAAACCGTCCGAAACGTCCACTTCCATATACTACAAAAAGAGCGTTTCAAACCTGCTCTATGAAAGGCAATGTTCAACTCTGTGACTTGAATGCAGACATCACAGAGCTGTTTCTGAGAATGCTTCTGTCTAGATTTTATAGGAAGATATTCCCGTTTCCAACGAAATCTTCACAGCTATCCCAATATCCACTTGCAGATTCTACAAAAAGAGTGTATCAAAACTGCTCTGTCAAAAGGAAGGTTCTTCTCTGTTAGGTGAGTGCATACGTCATAAAGGAGTTTCTGAGAATGATTCTGTCTAGTGGTTATGGGAAGATATTTGCTTTTTCCCCGTAGGCCTCAAAGCGCTCCAAATGTCAACTTGCACATACTACAAAAAGAGTGCTTCAAAGCTGCTCTCTGAAAGGGAATGTTCAACTCTATGAGTTGAATGCAAACATCGCAAAGACGTTTCTGAGAATGCTTCTGTCTAGATTTGATATGAAGATATTCCCGTTTCCAACGAAATCTTGAAATCTATCCAAATGTCCACTTCCAGATTCAACAAAGTGTTTTTCAGAACTGCTCTATTCAAAGAAAGATCCACCTCTGTTAGCTGAGATCACACTTCACAAACAAGTTTATCAGAATGCTTCCGTCTAGTTTTTATTTGAAAATATATCCTTTCTCACTATAGACCTGAAAGCTGTCCTAAAGTTCACTTCCAGATACTACAGAAAGAGTGTTTCAAAACTGCTGTACGAAAGGGAATGTTCAACTCTGTGACTTGAATGCACACATCACAAGGATGTTTCTGAGGATGCTGCAGTCTACTTTTTTTACGTAATCCCGTTTCCAAAGAAAACTTCCAAGCTATCCAAATATCCACTTGCAGATTCCACAGAAAGACTGTTTCAAAACTGCTCTGTCAATACAAATGTTCAACTCTGTTAGCTGCCTGCATATATCCCAAAGAAGATTCTGAGATTGCTTCTGTCTAGTTTTTATGGGAAGATATTTCCCTTTTCATCGTAGGTGTCAAGGCGCTCCAAATGTCCACTTCCAGATACAACAAAAAGAGTGTTTCAAACCTACTCTGTGAAAGGGAATATTCAACACTGAGACTTGAATGCACATATCACAAAGAAGTTTCTGAGAATGCTTCTGTCGAGATTTTATATGAAGATATTCCCGTTTCCAACCAAATCCTGAAATCTATCCAAATATCCCCTCGCAGATTCTACAAAAAGAGTGTTTCAAAACTGCTCTGTGAAAAGAAAGGTTCAACTCTGTTAGTTGAGTACACACATCACAAACAAGTTTCACAGAATGCTTCTTTCTAGCTTGTAGGGGAAGATATTCCCTTTATAACCATGGGCCTCAAACCGTCCGATAAGTCCACTTCCATATACTACAAAAAGAGCGTTTCAAACCTGCTCTATGAAAGGCAATGTTCAACTCTGTGACTTGAATGCAGACATCACAGAGCAGTTTCTGAGAATGCTTCTGTCTAGATTTTATAGGAAGATATTCCCGTTTCCAACGAAATCTTCACAGCTATCCAAATATCCACTTGGAGATTCTACAAAAAGAGTGTATCAAAACTGCTCTGTCAAAAAGAAGGTTCTTCTCTGTTAGTTGCGTACATACGTCATAAAGGAGTTTCTGAGAATGTTTCTGTTTAGTGGTTACGGGAAGATATTTGCTTTTTCACCGTAGGCCTCAGAGCGATCCAAATATCCACTTGCACATACTACAAAAAGAGTGCTTCAAAGCTGCTCTCTGAAACGGAATGTTCAACTCTATGAGTTGAATGCAAACATCACAAAGACGTTTCTGAGAATGCTTCTGTCTAGATTTGATATGAAGATATTCCCGTTTCCAACGAAATCTTCAAATCTATCCAAATGTCCACTTGCAGATTCAACAAAAAGTGTTTTTCAAAACTGCTGTATCAAAAGAAAGATCCACGTCTGTTAGCTGAGTTCACACATCACAAACAAGTTTATGAGAATGCTTGTCTGTCTAGTTTTTATTTGAAGATATTTCCTTTCTCACCATAGACCTGAAAGCTGTCCTAATGTTCACTTCCAGATGCTACAGAAAGAGTGTTTCAAAACTGCTGTACGAAAGGGAATGTTCAACTCTGTGACTTGAATGCACACATCACAAAGAAGTTTCTGAGGATGCTGCTGTCTACTTTTTATACGTAATCCCGTTTCCATTGAAATCCTCCAAGCTATCCAAATATCCACTTGCAGATTCCACAGAAAGACTGTTTCAAAACTGCTCTGTCAATAGAAAGGTTCAACTCTGTTAGCTTCGTGCATATATCCCAAAGAAGATTCTGAGATTGCTTCTGTCTAGTTTTTATGGGAAGATATTTCCCTTTTCACCGTAGGCGTCAAGGCGCTCCAAATGTCCACTTCCAGATACTACAAAAAGAGTGTTTCAAACCTACTCGGTGAAAGGGAATATTCAACTCTGTGACTTGAATGCACATATCACAAAGAAGTTTCTGAGAATGCTTCTGTCGAGATTTTATATGAAGATATTCCCGTTTCCAAAGAAATCCTGAAATCTATCCAAATATCCCCTCGCAGATTCTACAAAAAGAGTGTTTCAAAACTGCTCTGTAAAAAGAAAGGTTCAACTCTGTTAGTTGAGTACACACATCACAAATAAGTTTCACAGAATGCTTTCTTTCTAGCTTGTAGGGGAAGATATTCACTTTATCACCATGGGCCTCAAACCGTCCGAAACGTCCACTTCCATATACTACAAAAAGAGCGTTTCAAACCTGTTCTTGGAAAAGCAATGTTCAACTCTGTGACTTGAATGCAGACATCACAGAGCAGTTTCTGAGAATGCTTCTGTCTAGATTTTATAGGAAGATATTCCCGTTTCCAACGAAATCTTCACAGCTATCCAAATATCCACTTGCAGATTCTACAAAAAGAGTGTATCAAAACTGCTCTGTCAAATGGAAGGTTCTTCTCTGTTAGGTGAGTGCATACGTCATAAAGGAGTTTCTGAGAATGTTTCTGTCTAGTGGTTATGGGAAGATATTTGCTTTTTCCCCTTAGGCCTCAAAGCGCTCCAAATGTCAATTTGCACTTACTACAAAAAGAGTGCTTCAAAACTGCTCTCTGAAAGGGAATGTTCAACTCTATGAGTTGAATGCAAACATCACAAAGACGTTTCTGAGAATGCTTCTGTCTAGATTTGATATGAAGATATTCCCGTTTCCAAAGAAATCTTCAAATCTATCCAAATGTCCACTTGCAGATTCAACAAAAAGTGTTTTTCAGAACTGCTCTATCAAAAGAAAGATCCACGGCTCTTAGCTGAGTTCACACATCACGAACAAGTTTATGAGAATGCTTCTGTCTAGTTTTTATTTGAAGATATATCCTTTCTCACTATAGACCTGAAAGCTGTCCTAAAGTTCACTTCCAGATACTACAGAAAGAGTGTTTCAAAACTGCTGTACGAAAGGGAATGTTCAACTCTGTGACTTGAATGCACACATCACAAGGATGTTTCTGAGGATGCTGTTGTCTACTTTTTATACGTAATCCCGTTTCCAACGAAATCCTCCAAGCTATCCAAATATCCACTTGCAGATTCCACAGAAAGACTGTTTCAAAACTGCTATTTCAATAGAAAAGTTCAACTCTGTTAGCTGTGTGCATATATCCCAAAGAAAATTCTGAGATTGCTTCTGTCTAGTTTTCATGGGAAGATATTTCCCTTTTCACCGTAGGTGTCAAGGCGCTCCAAATGTCCACTTCCAGATACTACAAAAAGAGTGTTTCAAACCTACTCTCTGAAAGGGAATATTCCGCTCTGTGACTTGAATGCAGATATCACAATGAAGTTTCTGAGAATGCTTCTGTCGAGATTTTATATGAAGATATTCCCGTTTCCAACGAAATCCTGAAATCTCTCCAAATATCCCCTCGCAGATTCTACAAAAAGAGTGTTTCAAAACTGCTCTTTAAAAAGAAAGGTTCAACTCTGTTAGTTGAGTACACACATCACAAACAAGTTTCACAGAATGCTTCTTTCTAGCTTGTAGGGGAAGATATTCCCTTTATCACCATGGGCCTCAAACCGTCCGAAACGTCCACTTCCATATACTACAAAAAGAGCGTTTCAAACCTGCTCCAGGAAAGGCAATGTTCAACTCTGTGACTTGAATGCAGACATCACAGAGCAGTTTCTGAGAATGCTTCTGTCTAGATTTTATAGGAAGATATTCCCGTTTCCAACGAAATCTTCACAGCTATCCAAATATCCACTTGCAGATTCTACAAAAAGAGTGTATCAAAACTGCTCTCTCAAAAGGAAGGTTCTTCTCTGTTAGGTGAGTGCATACGTCATAAAGGAGTTTCTGAGAATGTTTCTGTCTAGTGGTTATGGGAAGATATTTGCTTTTTCCCCGTAGGCCTCAGGGCGCTCCAAATGTCCACTTGCACATGCTACAAAAAGAGTGCTTCAAAGCTGCTCTCTCAAAGGGAATGTTCAACTCTATGAGTTGAATGCAAACATCGCAAAGACGTTTCTGAGAATGCTTCTGTCTAGATTTGATATGAAGATATTCCCGTTTCCAACGAAATCTTCAAATCTATCCAAATGTCCACTTGCAGATTCAACAAAAAGTGTTTTTCAGAACTGCTCTATCAAAAGAAAGATCCACCTCTGTTAGCTGAGTTCAGACATCGCAAACATGTTTTTGAGAATGCTTCTGTCTAATTTTTATTTGAAGATATTTCCTTTCTCACCATAGACCTGAAAGCTGTCCTAATGTTCACTTCCAGATACTACAGAAAGAGTGTTTCAAAACTGCTGTACGAAAGGGAATGTTCAACTCTGTGACTTGAATGCACACATCAGAAAGAAGTTTCTGAGGATGCTGCTGTCTACTTATTATACGTAATCCCGTTTCCAACGAAATCCTCCAAGCTATCCAAATATCCACTTGCAGAATCCATAGAAAGACTGTTTCAAAACTGCTCTGTCAATAGAAAGGTTCAACTCTGTTAGCTGCGTGCATATATCCCAAAGAAGATTCTGAGATTGCTTCTGTCTAGTTTTTATGGGAAGATATTTCCCTTTTCACCGTAGGTGTCAAGGCGCTCCAAATGTTCACTTCCAGATACTACAAAAAGAGTGTTTCAAACCTACTCTGTGAAAGGGAATATTCAACTCTGTGACTTAAAGGCAGATATCACAAAGAAGTTTCTGAGAATGCTTCTGTCGAGATTTTATATGAAGATATTCCAGTTTCCAACCAAATCCTGAAATCTATCCAAATATCCCCTCGCAGATTCTACAAAAAGAGTGTTTCAAAAGTGCTCTGTAAAAAGAAAGGTTCAACTCTGTTAGTTGAGTACACACATCACAAACAAGTTTCACAGAATGCTTCTTTCTAGCTTGTAGGGGAAGATATTCCCTTTATCACCATGGGCCTCAAACCGTCTGAAACGTCCACTTCCATATACTGCAAAAAGAGCATTTCAAACCTGCTCTATGAAAGGCAATGTTCAACTCTGTGACTTGAATGCAGACATCACAGAGCAGTTTCTGAGAATGCTTCTGTCTAGATTTTATAGGAAGATATTCCCGTTCCAACGAAATCTTCACAGCTATCCAAATATCCACTTGCAGATTCTACAAAAAGAGTGTATCAAAACTGCTCTGTCAAAAGGAAGGTTCTTCTCTGTTAGGTGAGTGCATACGTCATAAAGGAGTTTCTGAGAATGTTTCTGTCTAGTGGTTATGGGAAGATATTTGCTTTTTCACCGTAGGCCACAGAGCGATCAAAACATCCACTTGCACATACTACAAAAAGAGTGCTTCAAAGCTGCTCTCTGAAAGTGAATGTTCAACTCTATGAGTTGAATGCAAACATCACAAAGACGTTTCTGAGAATGCTTCTGTCTAGATTTGATATGAAGTTATTCCCGTTTCCAACGAAATCTTCAAATCTATCCAAATGTCCACTTGCAGATTCAACAAAAAGTGTTTTTCAGAACTGCTCTATCAAAAGAAAGATCCACCTCTGTTAGCTGAGTTCACACATCACAAACAAGTTTATGAAAATGCTTCTGTCTAGTTTTTATTTGAAGATATTTCCTTTCTCACCATAGACCTGAAAGCTGTCCTAATGTTCACTTCCAGTTACTACAGAAAGAGTGTTTCAAAACTGCTGTACGAAAGGGAATGTTCAACTCTGTGAGTTGAATGCACACATCACAAAGAAGTTTCTGAGGATGCTGCTGTCTACTTTTTATACGTAATCCCGTTTCCAACGAAATCCTCCAAGCTATCCAAATATCCACTTGCAGATTCCACAGAAAGACTGTTTCAAAACTGCTCTGTCAATAGAAAGATTCAACTCTGTTAGCTGCGTGCATATATCCCAAAGAAGATTCTGAGATTACTTCTGTCTAGTTTTTATGGGAAGATATTTCCCTTTTCACCGTAGGCGTCAAGGCGCTCCAAATGTCCACTTCCAGATACTACAAAAAGAGTGTTTCAAACCTACTCTGTGAAAGGGAGTATTCAACTCTGTGACTTGAATACACATATCACAAAGAAGTTTCTGAGAATGCTTCTGTCGAGATTTTATATGAAGATAATCCCGTTTCCAACGAAATCCTGAAATCTATCCAAATATCCCCACGCAGATTCTACAAAAAGAGTGTTTCAAAACTGCTCTGTAAAAAGAATGGTTCAACTCTGTTAGTTGAGTACACACATCACAAAAAAGTTTCACAGAATGCTTCTTTCTAGCTTGTAGGGGAAGATATTCCCTTTATCACCATGTGCCTCAAACCGTCCGAAACTTCCACTTCCATATACTACAAAAAGAGCGTTTCAAACCTGCTCTAGGAAAGGCAATGTTCAACTCTGTGACTTGAATGCAGACATCACATAGCAGTTTCTGAGAATGCTTCTGTCTAGATTTTATAGGAAGATATTCCCGTTTCCAACGAAATCTTCACAGCTATCCCAATATCCACTTGCAGATTCTACAAAAAGAGTGTATCAAAACTGCTCTGTCAAAAGGAAGGTTCTTCTCTGTTAGGTGAGTGCATACGTCATAAAGGAGTTTCTGAGAACGTTTCTGTCTAGTGGTTATGGGAAGATATTTGCTTTTTCACCGAAGGCCTCAGAGCGCTCCAAATATCAACTTGCACATACTACAAAATGAGTGCCTCAAAGCTGCTCTCTGAAACGGAATGTTCAACTCTATGAGTTGAATGCAAACATCACAAAGACGTTTCCGAGAATGCTTCTGTCTAGATTTGATATGAAGATATTCCCGTTTCCAACGAAATCTTCAAATCTATCCAAATGTCCACTTGCAGATTCAACAAAGTGTTTTTCAAAACTGCTGTATCAAAAGAAAGATCCACCACTGTTAGCTGAGTTCACACTTCACAAACAAGTTTATCAGAATGCTTCTGTCTAGTTTTTATTTGAAGATATTTCCTTTCTCACCATAGACCTGAAAGCTGTCCTAATGTTCACTTCCAGATACTACAGAAAGTGTTTCAAAACTGCTGTACGAAAGGGAATGTTCAACTCTGTGACTTGAATGCACACATCACAAAGAAGTTTCTGAGGATGCTGCTGTCTACTTTTTATACGTAATCCCGTTTCCAACGAAATCCTTCAAGCTATCCAAATATCCACTTGCAGATTCCACAGAAAGACTGTTTCAAAACTGCTCTGTCAATAGAAAGGTTCAACTCTGTTAGCTGCGTGCATATATCCCAAAGAAGATTCTGAGATTGCTTCTGTCTACTTTTTATGAGAAGATATTTCCCTTTTCACCGTAGGCGTCAAGGCGCTCCAAATGTCCACTTCAGATACTACAAAAAGAGTGTTTCAAACCTACTCTGTGAAAGGGAATATTGAACTCTGTGACTTGAATGCACATATCAAAAAGAAGTTTCAGAGAATGCTCTGTCGAGATTTTATATGAAGATATTCCCGTTTCCAACGAAATCCTGAAATCTATCCAAATATCCCCTCGCAGATTCTACAAAAAGAGTGTTTCAAAACTGCTCTGTAAAAAGAAAGGTTCAACTCTGTTAGTTGAGTACACACATCACAAACAAGTTTCACAGAATGCTTTCTTTCTAGCTTGTAGGGGAAGATATTCCCCTTATCACCATGGGCCTCCAACCGTCCGAAACATCCACTTCCATATACTACAAAAAGAGCGTTTCAAACCTGCTCTATGAAAGGCAATGTTCAACTCTGTGACTTGAATGCAGACATCACAGAGCAGTTTCTGAGAATGCTTCTGTCTAGATTTTATAGGAAGATATTCCCGTTTCCAACGAAATCTTCACGGCTATCCAAATATCCACTTGCAGATTCTACAAAAAGAGTGTATCAAAACTGCTCTGTCAAAAGGAAGGTTCTTCTCTGTTAGGTGAGTGCATACGTCATAAAGGAGTTTCTGAGAATGTTTCTGTCTAGTGGTTATGGGAAGATATTTGCTTTTTCCCCGTAGGCCTCAGAGCGCTCCAAATATCCACTTGCACATACTACAAAAAGAGTGCTTCAAAGCTGCTCTCTGAAACGGAATGTTCAACTCTATGAGTTGAATGCAAACATCGCAAAGACGTTTCTGAGAATGCTTCTGTCTAGATTTGATATGAAAATATTCCCGTTTCCAACGAAATCTTCAAATCTATCCAAATGTCCACTTGCAGATTCAACAAAAAGTGTTTTTCAGAACTGCTCTATCAAAAGAAAGATCCACCTCTGTTAGCTGAGTTCACACATCATAAACAAGTTTATGAGAATGCTTCTGTCTAGTTTTTATTTGAAGATATTTCCTTTCTCACCATAGACCTGAAAGCTGTCCTAATGTTCACTTCCAGATACTACAGAAAGAGTGCTTCAAAACTGTTGTACGAAAGGGAATGTTCAACTCTGTGACTTGAATGCACACATCACAAAGAAGTTTCTGAGGATGCTGCTGTCTACTTTTTATACTTAATCCCGTTTCCAACGAAATCCTCCAAGCTTTCCAAATATCCACTTGCAGATTCCACAGAAAGACTGTTTCAAAACTGCTCTGTCAATAGAAAGGTTCAACTCTGTTAGCTGCGTGCATATATCCCAAAGAAGATTCTGAGATTGCTTCTGTCTAGTTTTTGTGGGAAGATATTTCGCTTTTCACCGTAGGTGTCAAGGCGCTCCAAATGTCCACTTCCAGATACTACAAAAAGAGTGTTTCAAACCTACTCTGTGAAAGGGAATATTCAACTCTGTGACTTGAATGCACATATCACAAAGAAGTTTCTGAGAATGCTTCTGTCGAGATTTTATATGAAGGTATTCCCGTTTCCAACGAAATCCTGAAATCTATCCAAATATCCCCTCGCAGATTCTACAAAAAGAGTGTTTCAAAACTGCTGTGTAAAAAGAAAGGTTCAACTCTGTTAGTTGAGTACACACATCACAAACAAGTTTCACAGAATGCTTCTTTCTAGCTTGCAGGGGAAGATATTCCCTTTATCACCATGGGCCTCCAACTGTCCGAAACATCCACTTCCATATACTACAAAAAGAGCGTTTCAAACCTGCTCTATGAAAGGCAATGTTCAACTCTGTGACTTGAATGCAGACATCACAGAGCAGTTTCTGAGAATGCTTCTGTCTAGAATTTATAGGAAGATATTCCCGTTTCCAACGAAATCTTCACAGCTATCCAAATATCCACTTGCAGATTCTACAAAAAGAGTGTGTCAAAACTGCTCTGTCAAAAGGAAGGTTCTTCTCTGTTAGTTGAGTACATACGTCATAAAGGAGTTTCTGAGAATGTTTCTGTCTAGTGGTTATGGGAAGATACTTGCTTTTTCACCGTAGGCCTCAGAGCGCTCCAAATATCCACTTGCACATACTACAAAAAGAGTGCTTCAAAGCTGCTCTCTGAAACGGAATGTTCAACTCTATGAGTTGAATGCAAACATCACAAAGACGTTTCTGGGAATGCTTCTGTCTAGATTTGATATGAAGATATTCCCGTTTACAACGAAATCTTCAAATCTATCCAAATGTCCACTTGCAGATTCAACAAAAAGTGTTTTTCAGAACTGCTCTATCAAAAGAAAGATCCACCTCTGTTAGCTGAGTTCACACATCACAAACAAGTTTATGAGAATGCTTCTGTCTAGTTTTTATTTGAAGATATTTCCTTTCTCACCATAGACCTGAAAGCTGTCCTAATGTTCACTTCCAGATACTACAGAAAGAGTGTTTCAAAACTGCTGTACGAAAGGGAATGTTCAACTCTGTGACTTGAATGCACACATCACAAAGAAGTTTCAGAGGAGGCTGCTGTCTACTTTTATACCTAATCCCGTTTCCAACGAAATCCTCCAAGCTATCCAAATATCCACTTGCAGATTCCACAGAAAGACTATTTCAAAACTGCTCTGTCAATAGAAAGGTTCAACTCTGTTAGCTGCGTGCATATATCCCAAAGAAGATTCTGAGATTGCTTCTGTCTAGTTTTTATGGGAAGATATTTCCCTTTTCACCGTAGGTGTCAAGGCGCTCCAAATGTCCACTTCCAGATACTACAAAAAGAGTGTTTCAAACCTACTCTGTGAAAGGGAATATTCAACTCTGTGACTTCAATGCACATATCACAAAGAACTTTCTGAGAATGCTTCTGTCGAGATTTTATATGAAGGTATTCCCGTTTCCAACGAAATCCTGAAATCTATCCAAATATCCCCTCGCAGATTCTACAAAAAGAGTGTTTCAAAACTGCTCTGTGAAAAGAAAGGTTCAACTCTGTTAGTTGAGTACACACATCACAAACAAGTTTCACAGAATGCTTCTTTCTAGCTTGTAGGGGAAGATATTCCCTTTATCACCATGGGCCTCAAACCGTCCAAAACGTCCACTTCCATATACTACAAAAAGAGCGTTTCAAACCTGCTCTATGAAAGGCAATGTTCAACTCTGTGACTTGAATGCAGACATCACAGAGCAGTTTCTGAGAATGCTTCTGTCTAGATTTTATAGGAAGATATTCCCGTTTCCAACGAAATCTTCACAGCTATCCAAATATGCACTTGCAGATTCTACAAAAAGAGTGTATCAAAACTGCTCTGTCAAAAAGAATGTTCTTCTCTGTTAGTTGAGTACATACGTCATAAAGGAGTTTCTGAGAATGTTTCTGTCTAGTGGTTATGGGAAGATATTTGCTTTTTCACCGTAGGCCTCAGTAGCGCTCCAAATATCCACTTGCACATACTACAAAAAGAGTCTTTCAAAGCTGCTCTCTGAAAGGGAATGTTCAACTCTATGAGTTGAATGCAAACATGACAAAGACGTTTCTGAGAATGCTTCTGTCTAGATTTGATATAAAGGTATTCCCGTTTCCAACGAAATCTTCAAATCTATCCAAATGTCCACTTGCAGATTCAACAAAAAGTGTTTTTCAGAACTGCTCTATCAAAAGAAAGATCCACCTCTGTTAGCTGAGTTCACACATCACAAACAAGTTTATGAGAATGCTTCTGTCTAGTTTTTATTTGAAGATATTTCCTTTCTCACCATAGAGCTGAACGCTGTCCTAATGTTCACTTCCAGATACTACAGAAAGAGTGTTTCAAAACTGCTGTACGAAAGGGAATGTTCAACTCTGTGACTTGAATGCACACATCACAAAGAAGTTTCGGAGGATGCTGCTGTCTACTTTTTATATGTAATCCCGTTTCCAACGAAATCCTCCAATCTATCCAAATATCCACTTGCAGATTCCACAGAAAGACTGTTTCAAATCTGCTCTGTCAACAGAAAGATTCAAGTCTGTTAGCTGCGTGCATATATCCCAAAGAAGATTCTGAGATTGCTTCTGTCTAGTTTTTATGGGAAGATATTTCCCTTTTCACCGTAGGCGTCAAGGCGCTCCAAATGTCCACTTCCAGATACTACAAAAAGAGTGTTTCAAACCTACTCTGTGAAAGGGAATATTCAACTCTGTGACTTGAATGCACATATCACAAGGAAGTTTCGGAGAATGCTTCTGTCGAGATTTTATATGAAGATATTCCCGTTTCCAACGAAATGCTGAAATCTATCCAAATATCCCCTCGCAGATTCTACAAAAAGAGTGTTTCAAAACTGCTCCTGTGAAAAGAAAGGTTCAACTACTGTTAGTTGAGTACACACATCACAAACTAGTTTCACAGAATGCTTCTTTCTAGCTTGTAGGGGAAGATATTCCCTAAATCACCATGGGCCTCAAACCGTCCGAAACGTCCACTTCCATATACTACAAAAAGAGTGTTTCAAACCTGCTCTATGAAAGGCAATGTTCAACTCTGTGACTTGAATGCAGACAACACAGAGCAGTTTCTGAGAATGCTTCTGTCTAGATTTTATAGGAAGATATTCCCGTTTCCAACGAAATCTTCACAGCTATCCAAATATCCACTTGCAGATTCTACAAAAAGAGTGTATCAAAACTGCTCTGTCAAAAGGAAGGTTCTTCTCTGTTAGGTGAGTGCATACGTCATAAAGGAGTTTCTGAGAATGTTTCTGTCTAGTGGTTATGGGAAGATGTTTGCTTTTTCACCCTAGGCCTCAGAGCACTCCAATTATCCCCTTGCACATACTACAAAAAGAGTGCTTCAAAGCTGCTCTCTGAAAGGGAATGTTCAACTCTATGAGTTGAATGCAGACATCACAAAGACGTTTCTGGGAATGCTTCTGTCTAGATTTGATATGAAGATATTCCCGTTTCCAACGAAATCTTCAAATCTATCCAAATGTCCACTTGCATATTCAACAAAAAGTGTTTTTCAGAACTGCTCTATCAAAAGAAAGATCCACCTCTGTTAGCTGAGTTCACACATCACAAACAAGTTTATGAGAATGCTTCTGTCTAGTTTTTATTTGAAGATATTTCCTTTCTCACCATAGAGCTGAAAGCTGTCCTAATGTTCACTTCCAGATACTACAGAAAGAGTGTTTCAAAACTGCTGTACGAAAGGGAATGTTCAACTGTGTGACTTGAATGCACACATCACAAAGAAGTTTCTGAGGATGCTGCTGTCTACTTTTTATATGTAATCCCGTTTCCAACGAAATCCTCCAAGCTATCCAAATATCCACTTGCAGATTTAACAGAAAGACTGTTTCAAAACTGCTCTGTCAATAGAAAAGTTCAACTCTGTTAGCTGCGTACATATATCCCAAAGAAGATTCTGAGATTGCTGCTGTCTAGTTTTTATGGGAACATATTTCCTTTTTCACCGTAGGCGTCAAGGCGCTCCAAATGTCCACTTCCAGATACTACAAAAAGAGTGTTTCAAACCTACTGTGTGAAAGGGAATATTCAACTCTTTGATTTGAATGTAGGTATCACAAAAAGTTTCTAAGAATGCTTCTGTCGCGATTTTATATGAAGATATTCCCGTTTCCAACGAAATCCTGAAATCTATCCAAATATCCCCTCGCAGATTCTACAAAAAGAGTGTTTCAAAACTGCTCTGTAAAAAGAAAGGTTCAACTCTGTTAGTTGAGTACACACATCACAAACAAGTTTCACAGAATGCTTCTTTCTAGCTTGTAGGGGAAGATATTCCCTTTATCACCATGGGCCTCAAACCGTCCGAAAAGTCCACTTCCATATACTACAAAAAGAGCGTTTCAAACCTGCTCTATGAAAGGCAATGTTCAACTCTGTGACTTGAAAGCAGACATCACAGAGCAGTTTCTGAGAATGCTTCTGTCTAGATTTTATAGGAAGATATTCCCGTTTACATCGAAATCTTCACAGGTATCCAAATATCCACTTGCAGATTCTACAAAAAGAGTGTATCAAAACTGCTCTGTCAAAAGGAAGGTTCTTCTCTGTTAGGTGAGTGCATACGTCATAAAGGAGTTTCTGAGAATGTTTCTGTCTAGTGTTTATGGGAAGATATTTGCTTTTTCACCGTAGGCCTCAGAGCACTCCAAATATCCCCTTGCACATACTACAAAAAGAGTGCTTCAAAGCTGCTCTCTGAAAGGGAATGTTCAACTCTATGAGTTGAATGCAAACATGACAAAGACGTTTCCGAGAATGCTTCTGTCTAGATTTGATATGAAGATATTCCCGTTTCCAACGAAATCTTCAAATCTATCCAAATGTCCACTTGCAGATTCAACAAAAAGTGTTTTTCAGAACTGCTCTATCAAAAGAAAGGTCCACCTCTGTTAGCTGAGTTCACACATCACAAACAAGTTTATGAGAATACTTCTGTCTAGTTTTTATTTGAAGATATTTCCTTTCTCACCATAGAGCTGAAAGCTGTCCTAATGTTCACTTCCAGATACTACAGAAAGAGTGTTTCAAAACTGCTGTACGAAAGGGAATGTTCAACTCTGTCACTTGAATGCACACATCACAAAGAAGTTTCCTGAGGATGCTGCTGTCTACTTTTTATACGTAATCCTGTTTCCAACGAAATCCTCCAAGCTATCCAAATATCCACTTGCAGATTCCCCAGAAAGACTGTTTCAAAACTGCTCTGTCAATAGAAAGGTTCAACTCTGTTAGCTGCGTGCATATATCCCAAAGAAGATTCTGAGATTGCTTCTGTCTAGTTTTTATGGGAAGATATTTCCCTTTTCACCGTAGGCATCAAGGCGCTCCAAATGTCCACTTCCAGATACTACAAAAAGACTGTTTCAAACCTACTCTGTGAAAGGGAATATTCAACTCTGTGACTTGAATGCACATATCACAAGGAAGTTTCTGAGAATGCTTCTGTCGAGTATTTTATATGAAGATATTCCCGTTTCCAACGAAATGCTGAAATCTATCCAAATATCCCCTCGCAGATTCTACAAAAAGAGTGTTTCAAAACTGCTCTGTAAAAAGAAAGGTTCAACTCTGTTAGTTGAGTACACACATCACAAATAAGTTTCACACAATGCTTCTTTCTAGCTTGTAGGGGAAGATATTCCCTTTATCACCATGGGCCTCAAACCGTCCGAAACGTCCACTTCCATATACTACAAAAAGAGCGTTTCAAACCTGCTCTATGAAAGGCAATGTTCAACTCTATGACTTGAATGCAGACATCACAGAGCAGTTTCTGAGAATGCTTCTGTCTAGATTTTATAGGAAGATATTCCCGTTTCCAACGAAATCTTCACAGCTATCCCAATATCCACTTGCAGATTCTACAAAAAGAGTATCTCAAAACTGCTCTGTCAAAAGGAAGGTTCTTCTCTGTTAGGTGAGTGCATACGTCATAAAGGAGTTTCTGAGAATGTTCCTGTCTAGTGGTTATGGGAAGATATTTGCTTTTTCCCCGTAGGCCTCAAAGCGCTCCAAATGTCCACTTGCACATACTACAAAAAGAGTGCTTCAAAGCTGCTCTCTGAAAGGGAATGTTCAACTCTATGAGTTGAATGCTAACATCACAAAGACGTTTCTGAGAATGCTTCTGTCTAGATTTAATATGAAGATATTCCCGTTTCCAACGAAATCTTCAAATCTATCCAAATATCCACTTGCAGATTCAACAAAAAGTGTTTTTCAGAACTGCTCTATCAAAAGAAAGATCCACCTCTGTTAGCTGAGATCACACTTCACAAACAAGTTTATCAGAATGCTTCTGTCTAGTTTTTATTTGAAGATATTTCCTTTCTCACCATAGACCTGAAAGCTGTCCTAATGTTCACTTCCAGATACTACAGAAAGAGTGTTTCAAAACTGCTGTACGAAAGGGAATGTTCAACTCTGTGACTTGAATGCACACATCACAAAGAAGTTTGCTGAGGATGCTGCTGTCTACTTTTTATACGTAATCCCGTTTCCAACGAAATCCTCCAAGCTATCCAAATATCCACTTGCAGATTCCACAGAAAGACTGTTTCAAAACTGCTCTGTCAATAGAAAGGTTCAACTCTGTTAGCTGCGTGCATATATCCCAAAAAAGATTCTGAGATTGCTTCTGTCTAGTTTTTATGGGAAGATATTTCCCTTTTCACCGTAGGCGTCAAGGCGCTCCAAATGTCCACTTCCAGATACTACAAAAAGAGTGTTTCAAACCTACTCTGTGAAAGGGAATATTCAACTCTGTGACTTGAATGCACATATCACAAAGAAGTTTCTGAAAATGCTTCTGTCGAGATTTTATATGAAGATACTCCCGTTTCCAACGAAATCCTGAAATCTATCCAAATATCCCCTCGCAGATTCTACAAAAAGAGTGTTTCAAAACTGCTCTGTAAAAGGAAAGGTTCAACTCTGTTAGTTGAGTACACACATCACAAACAAGTTTCACAGAATGCTTCTTTCTAGCTTGCAGGGGAAGATATTCCCTTTATCACCATGGGCCTCAAACCGTCCGAAACGTCTACTTCCATATACTACAAAAAGAGCGTTTCAAACCTGCTCTATGAAAGGCAATGTTCAACTCTGTGACTTGAATGCAGACATCACAGATCAGTTTCTGAGAATGCTTCTGTCTAGATTTTATAGGAAGATATTCCCGTTTCCAACGAAATCTTCACAGCTATCCAAATATGCACTTGCAGATTCTACAAAAAGAGTGTATCAAAACTGCTCAGTCAAAAAGAAGGTTCTTCTCTGTTAGTTGAGTACATACGTCATAAAGGAGTTTCTGAGAATGTTTTCTGTCTAGTGGTTATGGGAAGATATTTGCTTTTTCCCCGTAGGCCTCAGGGCGCTCCAAATATCCACTTGCACATGCTACAAAAAGAGTGCTTCAAAGCTGCTCTCTGAAACGGAATGTTCAACTCTATGAGTTGAATGCAAACATCGCAAAGACGTTTCTGAGAATGCTTCTGTCTAGATTTGATATGAAGATATTCCCGTTTCCAACGAAATCTTCAAATCTATCCAAATGTCCTCTTGCAGATTCAACAAAAAGTGTTTTTCAGAACTGCTCTATCAAAAGAAAGATCCACCTCTGTTAGCTGAGTTCACACATCACAAACAAGTTTATGAGAGTGCTTCTGTCTAGTTTTGATTTGAAGATATTTCCTTTCTCACCATAGAGCTGAAAGCTGTCCTAATGTTCACTTCCAGATACTACAGAAAGAGTGTTTCAAAACTGCTGTACGAAAGGGAATGTTCAACTCTGTGACTTGAATGCACACATCACAAAGAAGTTTCTGAGGATGCTGCTGTGTACTTTTGATACGTAATCCCGTTTCCAACGAAATCCTCCAAGCTATCGAAATATCCACTTGCAGATTCCACAGAACGACTGTTTCAAAACTGCTCTGTAAATAGAAATGTTCAACTCTGTTAGCTGCGTGCATATATCCCAAAGAAGATTCTGAGATTGCTTCTGTCTAGTTTTTATGGGAAGATATTTCCCTTTTCACCGTAGGTGTCAAGGCGCTCCAAATGTCCAATTCCAGATACTACAAAAAGAGTGTTTCAAACCTACTCTGTGAAAGGGAATATTCAACTCTGTGACTTGAATGCACATATCACAAAGAAGTTTCTGACAATGCTTCTGTCGAGATTTTATATGAAGATATTCCCGTTTCCAACGAAATCCTGAAATCTATCCAAATATCCCCTCGCAGATTCTACAAAAAGAGTGTTTCAAAACTGCTCTGTGAAAAGAAAAGTTCAACTCTGTTAGTTGAGTACACACATCACAAACAAGTTTCACAGAATGCTTCTTTCTAGCTTGTAGGGGAAGATATTCCCTTTATCACCATGGGCCTCAAACCGTCCGAAACGTCTACTTCCATATACTACAAAAAGAGCGTTTCAAACCTGCTCTATGAAAAGCAATGTTCAACTCTGTGACTTGAATGCAGATATCACAGAGCAGTTTCTGAGAATGCTTCTGTCTAGATTTTATAGGAAGATATTCCCGTTTCCAACGAAATCTTCACAGCTATCCAAATATCCACTTGCAGATTCTACAAAAAGAGTGTATCAAAACTGCTCTGTCAAAAGGAAGGTTCTTCTCTTATAGGTGAGTGCATAGGTCATAAAGGAGTTTCTGAGAATGTTTCTGTCTAGTGGTTATGGGAAGATATTTGCTTTTTCACCGTAGGCCTCAGGGCGCTCCAAATATCCACTTGCACATACTACAAAAAGAGTGCCTCAAAGCTGCTCTCTGAAACGGAATGTTCAACTCTATGAGTTGAATGCAAACATCGCAAAGACGTTTCTGAGAATGCTTCTGTCTAGATTTGATATGAAGATATTCCCGTTTCCAACGAAATCTTCAAATCTATCCAAATGTCCACTTGCAGATTCAACAAAAAGTGTTTTTCAGAACTGCTCTATCAAAAGAAAGATCCACCTCTGTTAGCTGAGTTCACACATCACAAAACAAGTTTATGAGAATGCTTCTGTCTAGTTTTTATTTGAAGATATTTCCTTTCTCACCATAGACCTGAAAGCTGTCCTAGTGTTCACTTCCAGTTACTACAGAAAGAGTGTTTCAAAACTGCTGTACGAAAGGGAATGTTCAACTCTGTGACTTGAATGCACACATCACAAAGAAGTTTCTGAGGATGCTGCTGTCTACTTTTTATACTTAATCCCGTTTCCAACGAAATCCTCCAAGCTGTCCAAATATCCACTTGCAGATTCCACAGAAAGACTGTTTCAAAACTGCTCTGTCAATAGAAAGGTTCAACTCTGTTAGCTGCGTGCATATATCCCAAAGAAGATTCTGAGATTGCTTCTGTCTAGTTTTTATGGGAAGATATTTCCCTTTTCACCGTAGGCGTCCAGGCGCTCCAAATGTCCACTTCCAGATACTACAAAAAGAGTGTTTCAAACCTACTCTATGAAAGGGAATATTCAACTCTGTGACTTGAATGCACATATCACAAGGAAGTTTCTGAGAATGCTTCTGTCGAGATTTTATATGAAGATATTCTCGTTTACAACGAAATCCTGAAATCTATCCAAATATCCCCTCGCAGATTCTACAAAAAGAGTGTTTCAAAACTGCTCTGTAAAAAGAAAGGTTCAACTCTGTTAGTTGAGTACACACATCACAAACAAGTTTCACACAATGCTTCTTTCTAGCTTGTAGGGGAAGATATTCCCTTTATCACCATGGGTCTCAAACCGTCCGAAACGTCTACTTCCATATACTACAAAAAGAGCGTTTCAAACCTGCTCTATGAAAGGCAATGTTCAACTCTGTGACTTGAATGCAGACATCACAGAGCAGTTTCTGAGAATGCTTCTGTCTAGATTTTATAGGAAGATATTCCCGTTTCCAACGAAATCTTCACAGCTATCCAAATATCCACTTGCAGATTCTACAAAAAGAGTGTATCAAAACTGCTCTGTCAAAAGGAAGGTTCTTTTCTGTTAGGTGAGTGCATACGTCATAAAGGAGTTTCTGAGAAGGTTTCTGTCTAGTGGTTATGGGAAGATATTTGCTTTTTCACCGTAGGCCTCGGAGCGCTCCAAATATCCACTTGCACATACTACAAAAAGAGTGTTTCAAACCTGCTCTCTGAAACGGAATGTTCAACTCTATGAGTTGAATGCAAACATCACAAAGACGTTTCTGAGAATGCTTCTGTCTAGATTTGATATGAAGATATTCCCGTTTCCAACGAAATCTTCAAATCTATCCAAATGTCCACTTGCAGATTCAAAAAAAAGTGTTTTTCAGAACTGCTCTATCAAAAGAAAGATCCACCTCTGTTAGCTGAGTTCACACATCACAAACAAGTTTATGAGAATGCTTCTGTCTAGTTTTTATTTGAAGATATTTCCTTTCTCACCATAGAGCTGAAAGCTGTCCTAATGTTCACTTCCAGATACTACAGAAAGAGTGTTTCAAAACTGCTGTACGAAAGGGAATGTTCAACTCTGTGACTTGAATGCACACATCACAAAGAAGTTTCTGAGTATGCTGCTGTCTACTTTTTATACTTAATCCCGTTTCCAACGAAATCCTCCAAGCTATCCAAATATCCACTTGCAGATTCCACAGAAAGACTGTTTCAAAACTGCTCTGTCAATAGAAAGGTTCAACTCTGTTAGCTGCGTGCATATATCCTAAAGAAGATTCTGAGATTGCTTCTGTCTACTTTTTATGAGAAGATATTTCCCTTTTCAACGTAGGCGTCAAGGCGCTCCAAATGTCCACTTCCAGATACTACAAAAAGAGTGTTTCAAACCTACTCTGTGAAAGGGAATATTCAACTCTGTGACTTGAATGCACATATCACAAAGAAGCTTCTGAGAATGCTTCTGTCGAGATTTTATATGAAGATATTCCCGTTTCCAACGAAATCCTGAAATGTATCCAAATATCCCCTCGCAGATTCTACAAAAAGAGTGTTTCAAAACTGCTCTGTAAAAAGAAAGGTTCAACTCTGTTAGTTGAGTACGCACATCACAAACAAGTTTCACAGAATGCTTCTTTCTAGCTTGTAGGGGAAGATATTCCCTTTATCACCATGGGCCTCAAACCGTCCGAAACATCCAGTTCCATATACTACAAAAAGAGCGTTTCAAACCTGCTCTAGGAAAGGCAATGTTCAACTCTGTGACTTGAATGCAGACATCACAGAGCAGTTTCTGAGAATGCTTCTGTCTAGATTTTATAGGAAGATATTCCCGTTTCCAACGAAATCTTCACAGCTATCCAAATATCCACTTGCAGATTCTGCAAAAAGAGTGTATCAAAAGTGCTCAGTCAAAAGGAAGGTTCTTCTCTGTTAGGTGAGTGCATACGTCATAAAGGAGTTTCTGAGAATGTTTCTGTCTAGTGGTTATGGGAAGGATATTTGCTTTTTCACCGTAGGCCTCAGAGCGCTCCAAATATCCACTTGCACATACTACAAAAAGAGTGCCTCAAAGCTGCTCTCTGAAACGGAATGTTCAACTCTATGAGTTGAATGCAAACATCGCAAAGACGTTTCTGAGAATGCTTCTGTCTAGCATTTGATATGAAGATATTCCCGTTTCCAACGAAATCTTCAAATCTATCCAAATGTCCACTTGCAGATTCAACAAAAAGTGTTTTTCAGAACTGCTCTATCAAAAGAAAGATCCACCTCTGTTAGCTGAGTTCACACATCACAAACAAATTTATGAGAATGCTTCTCTCAAGTTTTTATTTGAAGATATTTCCTTTCTCACCATAGACCTGAAAGCTGTCCTAATGTTCACTTCCAGATACTACAGAAAGAGTGTTTCAAAACTGCTGTACGAAAGGGAATGTTCAACTCTGTGACTTGAATGCACACATCACAAAGAAGTTTCTGAGGATGCTGCTGTCTACTTTTTATACGTAATCCCGTTTCCAAAGATATCCTCCAAGCTATCCAAATATCCACTTGCAGATTCCACAGTAAGACTGTTTCAAAACTGCTCTGTCAATAGAAAGGTTCAACTCTGTTAGCTGCATGCATATATCCCAAAGAAGATTCTGAGATTGCTTCTGTCTAGTTTTATGGGAAGATATTTCCCTTTTCACCGTGGGCGTCAAGGCGCTCCAAATGACCACTTCCAGATACTACAAAAAGAGTGTTTCAAACCTACTCTGTGAAAGGGAATATTCAACTCTGTGACTTGAATGCACATATCACAAGGAAGTTTCTGAGAATGCTTCTGTCGAGATTTTATATGAAGATCTTCCCGTTTCCAACGAAATCCTGAAATCTATCCAAATATCCCCTCGCAGATTCTACAAAAAGAGTGTTTCAAAACTGCTCTGTAAAAAGAAAGGTTCAACTCTGTTAGTTGAGTACACACATCACAAACAAGTTTCACAGAATGCTTCTTTCTAGCTTGTAGGGGAAGATATTCCCTTTATCACCATGGGCCTCAAACCGTCCGAAACGTCCACTTCCATATACTACAAAAAGAGCGCTTCAAACCTGCTCTATGAAAGACAATGTTCAACTCTGTGACTTGAATGCAGACATCACAGAGCAGTTTCTGAGAATGCTTCTGTCTAGATTTTATAGGAAGATATTCCCGTTTCCAACGAAATCTTCACAGCTATCCAAATATAAACTTGCAGATTCTACAAAAAGAGTGTATCAAAACTGCTCTGTCAAAAGGAAGGTTCTTCTCTGTTAGGTGAGTGCATACGTCATAAAGGAGTTTCTGAGAATGTTTCTGTCTAGTGGTTATGGGAAGATATTTGCTTTTTCACCTTAGGCCTCAGAGCGCTCAAAATATCCCCTTGCACATACTACAAAAAGAGTGCTTCAAAGCTGCTCTCTGAAACGGAATGTTCAACTCTATGAGTTGAATGCCAACATCACAAAGACGTTTCTGAGAATGCTTCTGTCTAGATTTGATATGAAGATATTCCCGTTTCCAACGAAATCTTCAAATCTATCCAAATGTCCACTTGCAGATTCAACAAAGTGTTTTTCAGAATTGCTCTATCAAAAGAAAGATCCACCTCTGTTAGCTGAGTTCACACTTCACAAACAAGTTTATCAGAATGCTTCTGTCTAGTTTTTATTTGAAGATATATCCTTTCTCACGATAGACCTGAAAGCTGTCCTAAAGTTCACTTCCAGATACTACAGAAAGAGTGTTTCAAAACTGCTGTACGAAAGGGAATGTTCAACTCTGTGACTTGAATGCACACATTACAAGGATGTTTCTGAGGATGCTGCTGTCTACTTTTTATACGTAATCCCGTTTCCAACGAAATCCTCCAAGCTATCCAAATATCCACTTGCAGATTCCACAGAAAGACTGTTTCAATACTGCTCTGTCAATAGAAAGGTTCAACTCTGTTAGCTGCGTGCATATATCCCAAAGAAGATTCTGAGATTGCTTCTGTCTAGTTTTTATGGGAAGATATTTCCCTTTTCACCGTAGGCGTCAAGGCGCTCCAAATGTCCACTTCCAGATACAACAAAAAGAGTGTTTCAAACGTACTCTGTGAAAGGGAATATTCAACTCTGTGACTTGAATGCACATATCACAAAGAAGTTTCTGAAAATGCTTCTGTCGAGATTTTATATGAAGATATTCCCGTTTCCAACGAAATCCTGAAATCTATCCAAATATCCCCTCGCAGATTCTACAGAAAGAGTGTTTCAAAACTGCTCTGTAAAAAGAAAGGTTCAACTCTGTTACTTGAGTACACACATCACAAACAAGTTTCACAGAATGCTTCTTTCTAGCTTGTAGGGGAAGATATTCCCTTTATCACCATGGGCCTCAAACCGTCCGAAACATCCACTTCCATATACTACAAAAAGAGCGTTTCAAACCTGCTCTATGAAAGGCAATGTTCAACTCTGTGACTTGAATACAGACATCACAGAGCAGTTTCTGAGAATGCTTCTGTCTAGATATTATAGGAGGATATTCCCGTTTCCAACGAAATCTTCACAGCTATCCAAATATCCACTTGCAGATTCTACAAAAAGAGTGTATCAAAACTGCTCTGTCAAAAGGAAGGTTCTTCTCTGTTAGGTGAGTGCATACGTCATAAAGGAGTTTCTGAGAATGTTTCTGTCTAGTGGTTATGGGAAGATATTTGCTTTTTCACCGTGGGCCTCAGAGCGCTCAAAATATCCACTTGCACATACTACAAAAAGAGTGCTTCAAAGCTGCTCTCTGAAACGGAATGTTCAACTCTATGAGTTGAATGCAAACATCACAAAGACGTTTCTGAGAATGCTTCTGTCTAGATTTGATATGAAGATATTCCCGTTTCCAACGAAATCTTCAAATCTATCCAGATGTCCACTTGCAGATTCAACAAAAAGTGTTTTTCAGAACTGCTCTATCAAAAGAAAGATCCACCTCTGTTAGCTGAGTTCACACATCACAAACAAGTTTATGAGAATGCTTCTGTCTAGTTTTTATTTGAAGATATTTCCTTTCTCACCATAGACCTGAAAGCTGTCCTAATGTTCACTTCCAGATACTACAGAAAGAGTGTTTCAAAACTGCTGTACGAAAGGGAATGTTCAACTCTGGGACTTGAATGCACACATCACAAAGAAGTTTCTGAGGATGCGGCTGTCTACTTTTTATACTTAATCCCGTTTCCAACGAAATCCTCCAAGCTATCCAAATATCCACTTGCAGATTCCACAGAAAGACTGTTTCAAAACTGCTCTGTCAATAGAAAGGTTCAACTCTGTTAGCTGCGTGCATGTATCCCAAAGAAGATTCTGAGATTGCTTCTGTCTAGTTTTTATGGGAAGATATTTCCCTTTTCACCGTAGGTGTCAAGGCACTCCAAATGTCCACTTCCAGATACTACAAAAAGAGTGTTTCAAACCTACTCTGTGAAAGAGAATATTCAACTCTGTGACTTGAATGCACATATCACAAAGAAGTTTCTGAGAATGCTTCTGTCGAGATTTTGTATGAAGATATTCCCGTTTCCAACGAAATCCTGAAATCTATCCAAATATCCCCTCGCAAATTCTACAAAAAGAGTGTTTCAAAACTGCTCTGTGAAAAGAAAGGTTCAACTCTGTTAGTTGAGTACACACATCACAAACAAGTTTCACAGAATGCTTCTTTCTAGCTTGTAGGGGAAGATATTCCCTTTATCACCATGGGCCTCCAACCGTCCGAAACATCCACTTCCATATACTACAAAAAGAGCGTTTCAAACCTGCTCTATGAAAGGCAATGTTCAACTCTGTGACTTGAATACAGACATCACAGAGCAGTTTCTGAGAATGCTTCTGTGTAGATTTTATAGGAAGATATTTCCGTTTCCAACGAAACCTTCACAGCTATCCAAATATCCACTTGCAGATTCTACAAAAAGAGTGTATCAAAACTGCTCTGTCAAAAGGAAGATTCTTCTCTGTTAGTTGAGTACATACGTCATAAAGGAGTTTCTGAGAATGTTTCTGTCTACTGGTTACGGGAAGATATTTGCTTTTGCACCTTAGGCCTCAGAGCGCTCCAAATATCCACTTGCACATACTACAAAAAGAGTGCTTCAAAGCTGCTCTCTGAAACGGAATGTTCAACTCTATGAGTTGAATGCCAACATCACAAAGACGTTTCTGAGAATGCTTCTGTCTAGATTTGATATGAAGATATTCCCGTTTCCAACGTAATCTTCAAATCTATCCAAATGTCCCCTTGCAGATTCAACAAAGTGTTTTTCAAAACTGCTGTACCAAAGAAAGATCCACCTCTGTTAGCTGAGTTCACACATCACAAACAAGTTTATCAGAATGCTTCTGTCTAGTTTTTATTTGAAGATATTTCCTTTCTCACCATAGAGCTGAAAGCTGTCCTAATGTTCACTTCCAGATACTACAGAAAGAGTGTTTCAAAACTGCTGTACGAAAGGGAATGTTCAACTCTGGGACTTGAATGCACACATCACAAAGAAGTTTCGGAGGATGCTGCTGTCTACTTTTTATACGTAATCCCGTTTCCAACGAAATCCTCCAAGCTATCCAAATATCCAATTGCAGATTCCACAGAAAGACTGTTTCAAAACTGCTCTGTCAATAGAAAGGTTCAACTCTGTTAGCTGCGTGCATATATCCCAAAGAAGATTCTGAGATTGCTTCTGTCTAGTTTTTATGGGAAGATATTTCCCTTTTTACCGTAGGCGTCAAGGCGCTCCAAATGTCCACTTCCAGATACTACAAAAAGAGTTTTTCAAACCTACTCGGTGAAAGGGAATATTCAACTCTGTGACTTGAATGCAGATATCACAAAGAAGTTTCTGAGAATGCTTCTGTCGAGATTTTATATGAAGATATTCCCGTTTCCAACGAAATCCTGAAATCTATCCAAATATCCGCTCGCAGATTCTACAAAAAGAGTGTTTCAAAACTGCTCTGTGAAAAGAAAGGTTCAACTCTGTTAGTTGAGTACACACATCAGAAACAAGTTTCACAGAATGCTTCTTTCTAGCTAGTAGGGGAAGATATTCCCTTTATCACCATGGGCCTTAAACCGTCCGAAACGTCCACTTCCATATACTACAAAAAGAGCGTTTCAAACCTGCTCTATGAAAGGCAATGTTCAACTCTGTGACTTGAATGCAGACATCACAGAGCAGTTTCTGAGAATGCTTCTGTCTAGATTTTATAGGAAGATATTCCCGTTTCCAATGAAATCTTCACAGCTATCCAAATATCCACTTGCAGATTCTACAAAAAGAGTGTATCAAAACTGCTCTGTCAAAAGGAAGGTTCTTCTCTGTTAGGTGAGTGCGTACGTCATAAAGGAGTTTCTGAGAATGTTTCTGTCTAGTGGTTATGGGAAGATATTTGCTTTTTCACCTTAGGCCTCAGAGCGCTCCAAATATCCCCTTGCACATACTACAAAAAGAGTGCTTCAAAGCTGCTCTCTGAAAGGGAATGTTCAACTCTATGAGTTGAATGCAAACATCACAAAGACGTTTCTGAGAATGCTTCTGTCTAGATTTGATATGAAGATATTCCCGTTTCCAATGAAATCTTCAAATCTATCCGAATGTCCACTTGCAGATTCAACAAAAAGTGTTTTTCAGAACTGCTCTATCAAAAGAAAGATCCACCTCTGTTAGCTGAGTTCACACATCACAAACAAGTTTATGAGAATGCTTCTGTCTAGTTTTTATTTGAAGATATTTCCTTTCTCACCATAGACCTGAAAGCTGTCCTAATGTTCACTTCCAGATACTACAGAAAGAGTGTTTCAAAACTGCTGTACGAAAGGGAATGTTCAACTCTGTGACTTGAATGCACACATCCCAAAGAAGTTTCTGAGGATGCTGCTGTCTACTTTTTATACGTAATCCCGTTTCCAACGAAATCCTCCAAGCTATCCCAATATCCACTTGCAGATTCCACAGAAAGACTGTTTCTAAACTGCTGTGTCAATAGAAAGGTTCAACTCTGTTAGCTGCGTGCATATATCCCAAAGAAGATTCTGAGATTGCTTCTGTCTAGTTTTTATGGGAAGATATTTCCCTTTTCACCGTAGGTGTCAAGGCGCTCCAAATGTCCACTTCCAGATACTATAAAAAGAGTGTTTCAAACCTACTCTGTGAAAGGGAATATTCAACTCTGTGACTTGAATGCAGATATCACAAAGAAGTTTCTGAGAATGCTTCTGTCGAGATTTTATATGAAGATATTCCCGTTTCCAACGAAATCCTGAAATCTATCCAAATATCCCCTCGCAGATTCTACAAAAATAGTGTTTCAAAACTACTCTGTAAAAAGAAAGGTTCAACACTGTTAGTTGAGTACACACATCACAAACAAGTTTCACAGAATGCTTCTTTCTAGCTTGTAGGGGAAGATATTCCCTTTATCACCATGGGCCTCAAACCGTCCGAAACCTCCAGTTACATATACTACAAAAAGAGCGTTTCAAACCTGCTCTATGAAAGGCAATGTTCAACTCTGTGACTTGAATGCAGACATCACAGAGCTGTTTCTGAGAATACTTCTGTCTAGATTTTATAGGAAGATATTCCCGTTTCCAACGAAATCTTCACAGCTATCCAAATATCCACTTGCAGATTCTACAAAAAGAGTGTATCAAAACTGCTCTGTCAAAAGGAAGGTTCTTCTCTGTTAGTTGAGTATATACGTCATAAAGGAGTTTCTGAGAATGTTTCTGTCTAGTGGTTATGGGAAGATATTTGCTTTTTCACCGTAGGCCTCAGAGCGCTCCAAATATCCACTTGCACATACTACAAAAAGAGTGCTTCAAAGCTGGTCTCTGAAACGGAACGTTCAACTCTATGAGTTGAATGCAAACATCACAAAGACGTTTCTGAGAATGCTTCTGTCTAGATTTGATATGAAGATATTCCCGTTTCCAACGAAATCTTCAAATCTATCCAAATGTCCACTTGCAGATTCAACAAAAAGTGTTTTTCAGAACTGCTCTATCAAAAGAAAGATCCACCTCTGTTAGCTGAGTTTACACATCACAAACAAGTTTATGAGAATGCTTCTGTCTAGTTTTTATTTGAAGATATTTCCTTTCTCACCATAGACCTGAAAGCTGTCCAAATGTTCACTTCCAGATGCTACAGAAAGAGTGTTTCAAAACTGTTGTACGAAAGGGAATGTTCAACTCTGTGACTTGAATGCACACATCACAAAGAAGTTTCTGAGGATGCTGCTGTCTAATTTTTATACGTAATCCCGTTTACAACGAAATCCTCCAAGCTATCCAAATATGCACTTGCAGATTCCACAGAAAGACTGTTTCAAAACTGCTCTGTCAATAGAAAGGTTCAACTCTGTTAGCTGCGTGCATATATCCCAAAGAAGATTCTGAGATTGCTTCTGTCTAGTTTTTATGGGAAGATATTTCCCTTTTCACCGTAGGTGTCAAGGCGCTCAAAATGTCCACTTCCAGATACTACAAAAAGAGTGTTTCAAACCTACTCTGTGAAAGGGAATATTCAACTCTGTGACTTGAATGCAGATATCACAAAGAAGTTTCTGAGAATGCTTCTGTCGAGATTTTATATGAAGATATTCCCGTTTCCAACGAAATCCTGAAATCTATCCAAATATCCCCACGCAGATTCTACAAAAAGAGTGTTTCAAAACTGCTCTGTAAAAAGAAAGGTTCAACTCTGTTAGATGAGTACACACATCACAAACAAGTTTCACAGAATGCTTCTTTCTAGCTTGTATGGGAAGATATTCCCTTTATCACCATGGGCCTCAAACCGTCCGAAACGTCCACTTCCATATACTACAAAAAGAGTGTTTCAAACCTGCTCTATGAACGGCAATGTTCAACTCTGTGACTTGAATCCAGACATCACAGAGCAGTTTCTGAGAATGCTTCTGTCTAGATTTTATAGGAAGATATTCCCGTTTCCAACGAAATCTTCACAGCTATCCAAATATCCACTTGCAGATTCTACAAAAAGAGTGTATCAAAACTGCTCTGTCAAAAGGAAGGTTCTTCTCTGTTAGTTGAGTACATATGTCATAAAGGAGTTTCTGAGAATGTTTCTGTCTAGTGGTTATGGGAAGATATTTGCTTTTTCACCTTAGGCCTCAGAGCGCTCCATATATCCCCTTGCACATACTACAAAAAGAGTGCTTCAAAGCTGCTCTCTGAAAGGGAATGTTCAACTCTATGAGTTGAATGCAAACATCACAAAGACGTTTCTGAGAATGCTTCTGTCTAGGTTTGATATGAAGATATTCCCGTTTCCAACGAAATCTTCAAATCTATCCAAATGTCCACTTGCGGATTCAACAAAAAGTGTTTTTCAGAACTGCTCTATCAAAAGAAAGATCCACCTCTCTTAGCTGAGTTCACACATCACAAACAAGTTTATGAGAATGCTTCTGTCTAGTTTTTATTTGAAGATATTTCCTTTCTCACCATAGAGCTGAAAGCTGTCCTAATGTTCACTTCCAGATACTACAGAAAGAGTGTTTCAAAACTGCTGTACGAAAGGGAATGCTCAACTCTGTGACTTGAATGCACACATCACAAAGAAGTTTCTGAGGATGCTGCTGTCTACTTTTTATACGTAATCCCGGTTTCCAAAGAAATCCTCCAAGCTATCCAAATATCCACTTGCAGATTCCACAGAAGGACTGTTTCTAAACTGCTCTGTCAATAGAAAGGTTCAACTCTGTTAGCTGCGTGCATATATCCCAAAGAAGATTCTGAGATTGCTTCTGACTAGTTTTTATTGGAAGATATTTCCTTTTTCACCATAGGCATCAAAGCGCTCCAAATTTCCACTTCCAGATACTACAAAAAAAGAGTGTTTCAAACCTACTGTGTGGAAGGGAATATTTAACTCGGTGACTTCAATGCACATATCACAGAGAAGTTTCTGAGAATGCTTCTGTCGAGATTTTATATGAAGATATTCCCCTTTCCAACGAAATCCTGAAATCTATCCAAATATGCCCTCGCAGATTCTACAAAAAGAGTGTTTCAAAACTGCTCTGTAAAAAGAAAGGTTCAACTCCTGTGAGTTGAGTACACACATCACAAACAAGTTTCACAGAATGCTTCTTTCTAGCTTGTAGGGGAAGATATTCCCTTTATCACCATGGGCCTCAAACCGTCCGAAAAGTCCACTTCCATATACTACAAAAAGAGCGTTTCAAACCTGCTCTATGAAAGGCAATGTTCAACTCTGTGACTTGAATGCAGACATCACAGAGCAGTTTCTGAGAATGCTTCTGTCTAGATTTTATAGGAAGATATTCCCGTTTCCAACGAAATCTTCACAGCTATCCAAATATCCACTTGCAGATTCTACAAAAAGATTGTATCAAAACTGCTCTGTCAAAAGGAAGGTTCTTTTCTGTTAGGTGAGTGCATACGTCATAAAGGAGTTTCTGAGAATGTTTCTGTCTAGTGGTTATGGGAAGATATTTGCTTTATCACCGTAGGCCTCAGAGCGCTCCAAATATCCGCTTGCACATACTACAAAAAGAGTGCTTCAAAGCTGCTCTCTGAAACGGAATGTTCAACTCTATGAGTTGAATGCAAACATCACAAAGACGTTTCTGAGATTGCTTCTATCTAGATTTGATATGAAGAAATTCCCGTTTCCAACGAAATCTTCAAATCTATACAAATGTCCACTTGCAGATTCAACAAAGTGTTTTTCAGAACTGCTCTATCAAAAGAAAGATCCACCTCTGTTAGCTGAGATCACACTTCACAAACAAGTTTATCAGAATGCTTCTGTCTAGTTTTTATTTGAAGATATTTCCTTTCTCACCATAGACCTGAAAGCTGTCCTAATGTTCACTTCCAGATGCTACAGAAAGAGTCTTTCAAAACTGGTGTACAAAAGGGAATGTTCAAATCTGTGACTTGAATGCACACATCACAAAGAAGTTTCTGAGGATGCTGCTGTCTACTTTTTATGCGTAATCCCGTTTCCAACGAAATCCTCCAAGCTATCCAAATATCCACTTGCAGATTCCACAGAAAGACTGTTTCAAAACTGCTCTGTCAATAGAAAGGTGCAAATCTGTTAGCTGCGTGCATATATCCCAAAGAAGATTCTGAGATTGCTTCTGTCTAGTTTTTATGAGAAGATATTTCCCTTTTCACCGTAGGTGTCAAGGCGATCCAAATGTCCACTTCCAGATACTACAAAAGGAGTGTTTCAAACCTACTCTGTGAAAGGGAATATTCAACTCTGTGACTTGAATGCAGATATCACAAAGAAGTTTCTGAGAATGCTTCTGTCGAGATTTTATATGAAGATATTCCCGTTTCCAACGAAATCCTGAAATCTATCCAAATATCCCCTCGCAGATTCTACAAAAAGAGTGTTTCAAAACTGCTCTGTAAAAAGAAAGGTTCAACTCTGTTAGTTGAGTACACACATCACAAACAAGTTTCACAGAATTCTTCTTTCTAGCTTGTAGGGGAAGATATTCCCTTTATCACCATGGGCCTCAAACCCTCCGAAACGTCCACTTCCATATACTACAAAAAGAGCGTTTCAAACCTGCTCTATGAAAGGCAATGTTCAACTCTGTGACTTGAATGCAGACATCACAGAGCAGTTTCTGAGAATGCTTCTGTCTAGGTTTTATAGGAAGATATTCCCGTTTCCAACGAAATCTTCACAGCTATCCAAATATCCACTTGCAGACAGTACAAAAAGAGTGTATCAAAAATGCTCCGTCAAAAGGAAAGTTCTTCTCTGTCAGTTGAGTACATACGTCATAAAGGAGTTTTTGAGAATGTTTCTGTCTAGTGGTTATGGGAAGATATTTGCTTTTTCACCGTAGGCCTCAGAGCGCTCCAAATATCCGCTTGCACATACTACAAAAAGAGTGCTTCAAAGCTGCTCTCTGAAACGGAATGTTCAACTCTAAGAGTTGAATGCAAACATGACAAAGACGTTTCTGACAATGCTTCTGTCTAGATTTGATATGAAGATATTCCCGTTTCCAACGAAATCTTCAAATCTATCCAAATGTCCACTTGCAGATTCAACAAAAAGTGTTTTTCAGAACTGCTCTATCAAAAGAAAGATCCACGTGCGTTAGCTGAGTTCACACATCACAAACAAGTTTATGAGAATGCTTCTGTCTAGTTTTTATTTGAAGATATTTCCTTTCTGACCATAGCCCTGAAAGCTGTACTAATGTTCACTTCCAGATACTACAGAAAGAGTGTTTCAAAACTGCTGTACGAAAGGGAATGTTCAACTCTGTGACTTGAATGCACACATCACAAAGAAGTTTCTGAGGATGCTGCTGTCTACTTTTTATACGTAATCCCGTTTCCAACGAAACCCTCCAAGCTATCCAAATATCCACTTGCAGATTCCACAGAAAGACTGTTTCAAAACTGCTCTGTCAATAGAAAGGTTCAACTCTGTTAGCTGCGTGCATATATCCCAAAGAAGATTCTGAGATTGCTTCTGTCTAGTTTTTATGG
Organism: Homo sapiens; assembly: GCF_000001405.40. Classification (NCBI taxonomy): domain Eukaryota; kingdom Metazoa; phylum Chordata; class Mammalia; order Primates; family Hominidae; genus Homo; species Homo sapiens. The sequence goes on along the minus strand of NC_000022.11, from coordinate 14,271,551 downwards.
GAAGATATTTCCCTTTTCACCGTAGGCGTCAAGGCGCTCCAAATGTCCACTTCCAGATACTACAAAAAGAGTGTTACAAACCTACTCTGTGAAAGGGAATATTCAACTCTGTGACTTGAAGGCAGATATCACAAAGAAGTTTCTGAGAATGCTTCTGTCGAGATTTTATATGAAGTTATTCCCGTTTCCAACGAAATCCTGAAACCTATGCAAATATCCCCTCGCAGATTCTACAAAAAGAGTTTTCCAAAACAGCTCTGTAAAAAGAAAGGTTCACCGCTGTTAGTTGAATACACACATCACAAACTAGTTTCTCAGAATGCTTCTTTCTAGCTTGTATGGGAAGATATTCCCTTTATGACCATGGGCCTCAAACCGTCCGAAACGTCCACTTTTATATACTACAAAAAGAGCGTTTCAAACCTGCTCTATGAAAGGCAATGTTCAACTCTGTGACTTGAATGCAGACATCACAGAGCAGTTTCTGAGAATGCTTCTGTCTAGATTTTATAGGAATATATTCCCGTTTCCAACGAAATCTTCACAGCTATCCAAATATCCACTTGCAGATTCTACAAAAAGAGTGTATCAAAACTGCTCTGTCAAAAGGAAGGTTCTTCTCTGTTAGGTGAGTGCATACGTCATAAAGGAGTTTCTGAGAATGTTTCTGTCTAGTGGTTATGGGAAGATATTTGCTTTTTCACCGTAGGCCTCAGAGCGCTCCAAATATCCACTTGCACATACTACAAAAAGAGTGCTTCAAAGCTGGTCTCTGAAACGGAATGTTCAACTCTATGAGTTGAATGCAAACATCGCAAAGACGTTTCTGAGAATGCTTCTGTCTAGATTTGATATGAAGATATTCCCGTTTCCAACGAAATCTTCATATCTATCCAAATGTCCACTTGCAGATTCAACAAAAAGTGTTTTTCAGAACTGCTCTATCAAAAGAAAGATCCACCTCTGTTAGCTGAGTTCACACATCACAAAGAAGTTTATGAGAATGCTTCTGTCTAGTTTTTATTTGAAGATATTTCCTTTCTCAACATAGACCTGAAAGCTGTCCTAATGTTCACTTCCAGATGCTACAGAAAGAGTGTTTCAAAACTGCTGTACGAAAGGGAATGTTCAACTCTGTGACTTGAATGCACACATCACAAAGAAGTTTCTGAGGATGCTGCTGTCTACTTTTTATACGTAATCCCGTTTCCAACGAAATCCTCCAAGCTATCGAAATATCCACTTGCAGATTCCACAGAAAGACTGTTTCAAAACTGCTCTGTCAATAGAAAGGTTCAACTCTGTTAGCTGCGTGCATATATCCCAAAGAAGATTCTGAGATTGCTTCTGTCTAGTTTTTATGGGAAGATATTTCCCTTTTCACCGTAGGCGTCAAGGTGCTCCAAATGTCCACTTCCAGATACTACAAAAAGAGTGTTTCAAACCTACTCTGTGAAAGGGAATATTCAACTCTGTGACTTGAATGCACATATCACAAGGAAGTTTCTGAGAATGCTTCTGTCGAGATTTTATATGAAGATATTCCCGTTTCCAACGAAATCCTGAAATGTATCCAAATATCCCCTCGCAGATTCTACAAAAAGAGTGTTTCAAAACTGCTCTGTAAAAAGAAAGGTTCAACTCTGTTAGTTGAGTAGACACATCACAAACAAGTTTCACAGAATGCTTCTTTCTAGCTTGTAGGGGAAGATATTCCCTTTATCACCATGGGCCTCCAACCGTCCGAAACATCCACTTCCATATACTACAAAAAGAGCGTTTCAAACCTGCTCTATGAAAGGCAATGTTCAACTCTGTGACTTGAATGCAGACATCACAGAGCGGTTTCTGAGAATGCTTCTGTCTAGATTTTATAGGAAGATATTCCCGTTTCCAACGAAATCTTCACAGCTATCCAAATATCCACTTGCAGATTCTACAAAAAGAGTGTATCAAAAGTGCTCTGTCAAAAGGAAGGTTCTTCTCTGTTAGGTGAGCGCATACATCATAAAGGAGTTTCTGAGAATGTTTCTGTCTAGTGGTTATGGGATGATATTTGCTTTTTCACCGTAGGCCTCAGAGCGCTCCAAATATCCACTTGCACATACTACAAAAAGAGTGCCTCAAAGCTGCTCTCTGAAACGGAATGTTCAACTCTATGAGTTGAATGCAAACATCGCAAAGACGTTTCTGAGAATGCTTCTGTCTAGATTTGATATGAAGATATTCCCGTTTCCAACGAAATCTTCAAATCTATCCAAATGTCCACTTGCAGATTCAACAAAAAGTGTTTTTCAGAACTGCTCTATCAAAAGAAAGATCCACGTGTGTTAGCTGAGTTCACACATTACAAACAAGTTTATGAGAATGCTTCTGTCTAGTTTTTATTTGAAGATATTTCCTTTCTCACCATAGACCTGAAAGCTGTCCTAATGTTCACTTCCAGGTACTACAGAAAGAGTGTTTCAAAACTGCTGTACGAAAGGGAATGTTCAACTCTGTGACTTGAATGCACACATCACAAAGAAGTTTCTGAGGATGCTGCTGTCTACTTTTTATACGTAATCCCGTTTCCAACGAAATCCTCCAAGCTATCCAAATATCCACTTGCAGATTCCACAGAAAGACTGTTTCAAAACTGCTCTGTCAATAGAAAGGTTCAACTCTGTTAGCTGCATGCATATATCCCAAAGAAGATTCTGAGATTGCTTCTGTCTAGTTTTGATGGGAAGATATTTCCCTTTTCACCGTAGGTGTCAAGGCGCTCCAAATGTCCACTTCCAGATACTACCAAAAGAGTGTTTCAAACCTACTCTGTGAAAGGGAATATTCAACTCTGTGACTTGAATGCACATATCACAAAGAAGTTTCTGAGAATGCTTCTGTCGAGATTTTGTATGAAGATATTCCCGTTTCCAACGAAATCCTGAAATCTATCCAAATATCCCCTCGGAGAGTCTACAAAAAGAGTGTTTCAAAACTGCTCTGTGAAAAGAAAGGTTCAACTCTCTTAGTTGAGTACACACATCACAAACAAGTTTCACAGAATGCTTCTTTCTATCTTGTAGGGGAAGATATTCCCTTTATCACCATGGGCCTCCAACCGTCCGAAACATCCACTTCCATATACTACAAAAAGAGCGTTTCAAACCTGCTCTATGAAAGGCAATGTTCAACTCTGTGACTTGAATGCAGACATCACAGAGCAGTTTCTGAGAATGCTTCTGTCTAGATTTTATAGGAAGATATTCCCGTTTCCAACGAAATCTTCACAGCTATCCACATATCCACTTGCAGATTCTACAAAAAGAGTGTATCAAAACTGCTCTGTCAAAAGGAAGGTTCTTCTCTGTTAGGTGAGTGCATACGTCATAAAGGAGTTTCTGAGAATGTTTCTGTCTAGTGGTTATGGGAAGATATTTGCTTTTTCACCGTAGGCCTCAGAGCGATCCAAATATCCACTTGCACATACTACAAAAAGAGTGCTTCAAAGCTGCTCTCTGAAACGGAATGTTCAACTCTATGAGTTGAATGCAAACATCACAAAGACGTTTCTGAGAATGCTTCTGTCTAGATTTGATATGAAGATATTCCCGTTTCCAACGAAATCTTCAAATCTATCCAAATGTCCATTTGCAGATTCAACAAAAAGTGTTTTTCAAAACTGTTATATCAAAAGAAAGATCCACATCTGTTAGCTGAGTTCACACATCACAAACAAGTTTAAGAGAATGCTTCTGTCTAGTTTTTATTTGAAGATATTTCCTTTCTCACCATAGACCTGAAAGCTGTCCTAGTGTTCACTTCCAGATACTACAGAAAGAGTGTTTCAAAACTGCTGTACGAAAGGGAATATTCAACTCTGTGACTTGAATGCACACATCACAAAGAAGTTTCTGAGGATGCTGCTGTCTACTTTTTATGCGTAATCCCGTTTCCAACGAAATCCTCCAAGCTATCCAAATATCCACTTGCAGATTCCACAGAAAGACTGTTTCAAAACTGCTCTGTCAATAGAAAGGTTCAACTCTGTTAGCTGCGGTGCATATATCCCAAAGAAGATTCTGAGATTGCTTCTGTCTAGTTTTTATGGGAAGATATTTCCCTTTTCACCTTAGGCGTCAAGGCGCTCCAAATGTCCACTTCCAGATACTACAAAAAGAGTGTTTCAAACCTACTCTGTGAAAGGGAATATTCAAACCTGTGACTTGAATGCACATATCACAAAGAAGTTTCTGAGAATGCTTCTGTTGAGATTTTATATGAAGATATTCCCGTTTCCAATGAAATCCTGAAATCTATCCAAATATCCCCTCGCAGATTCTACAAAAAGAGTGTTTCAAAACTGCTCTGTAAAAACAAAGGTTCAACTCTGTTAGTTGAGTACACACATCACAAACAACTTTCACAGAATGCTTCTTTCTAGCTTGTAGGGGAAGATATTCCCTGTATCACCATGGGCCTCAAACCGTCCGAAGCGTCCACTTCCATATACTAAAAAAAGAGTGTTTGAAACCTGCTCTATGAAAGGCAATGTTCAACTCTGTGACTTGAATGCAGACATCACAGAGCAGTTTCTGAGAATGCTTCTGTCTAGATTTTATAGGAAGATATTCCCGTTTCCAGCGAAATCTTCACAGCTATCCAAATATCCACTTGCAGATTCTACAAAAAGAGTGTATCAAAACTGCTCTGTCAAAAGGAAGGTTCTTCTCTGTTAGTTGAGTACATACGTCATAAAGGAGTTTCTGAGAATGTTTCTGTCTAGTGGTTACGGTAAGATATTTGCTTTTTCACCTTAGGCCTCAGAGCGCTCCAAATATCCACTTGCACATACTACAAAAAGAGTGCTTCAAAGCTGCTCTCTGAAACGGAATGTTCAACTCTATGAGTTGAATGCAAACATGACAAAGACGTTTCTGAGAATGCTTCTGTCTAGATTTGATATGAAGATATTCCCGTTTCCAACGAAATCTTCATATCTATCCAAATGTCCACTTGCAGATTCAACAAAAAGTGTTTTTCAAAACTGCTGTATCAAAAGAAAGATCCACGTCTGTTAGCTGAGTTCACACATCACAAACAAGATTATGAGAATGCTTCTGTCTAGTTTTTATTTGAAGATATTTCCTTTCTCACCATAGACCTGAAAGCTGTCCTAATGTTCACTTCCAGTTACTACAGAAAGAGTGTTTCAAAACTGCTGTACGAAAGGGAATGTTCAACCCTGTGACTTGAATGCACACATCACAAAGAAGTTTCTGAGGATGCTGCTGTCTACTTTTTATACGTAATCCCGTTTCCAACGAAATGCTCCAAGCTATCCAAATATCCACTTGGAGATTCCACAGAAAGACTGTTTCAAAACTGCTCTGTCAATAGAAAGGTTCAACTCTGTTAACTGCGTGCATATATCCCAAAGAAGATTCTGAGATTGCTTCTGTCTAGTTTTTATGAGAAGATATTTCCCTTTTCACCGTAGGCGTCAAGGCGATCCAAATGTCCACTTCCAGATACTACAAAAGGAGTGTTTCAAACCTACTCTGTGAAAGGGAATATTCAACTCTGTGACTTGAATGCAGATATCACAAAGAAGTTTCTGAGAATGCTTCTGTCGAGATTTTATATGAAGATATTCCCGTTTCCAACGAAATGCTGAAATGTATCCAAATATCCCCTCGTAGATTCTACAAAAAGAGTGTTTCAAAACTGCTCTGTAAAAACAAAGGTTCAACTCTGTTAGTTGAGTACACACATCACAAACAAGTTTCACAGAATGCTTCTTTCTAGCTTGTAGGGGAAGATATTCCCTTTATCACCATGGGCCTCAAACCGTCCGAAACGTCCACTTCCATATACTACAAAAAGAGCGTTTCAAACCTGTTCTAGGAAAGACAATGTTCAACTCTGTGACTTGAATGCAGACATCACAGAGCAGTTTCTGAGAATGCTTCTGTATAGATTTTATAGGAAGATATTCCCGTTTCCAACGAAATCTTCACAGCTATCCAAATATCCACTTGCAGATTCTACAAAAAGAGTGTATCAAAACTGCTCTGTCAAAAGGAAGGTTTCTTCTCTGTTAGGTGAGTGCATACGTCATAAAGGAGTTTCTGAGAATGTTTCTGTCTAGTGGTTATGGGAAGATATTTGCCTTTTCACCTTAGGCCTCAGAGCACTCCAAATATCCCCTTGCACATACTACAAAAAGAGTGCTTCAAAGCTGCTCTCTGAAACGGAATGTTCAACTCTATGAGTTGAATGCAAACATCACAAAGACGTTTTTGGGAATGATTCTGTCTAGTATTTGATATGAAGATATTCCCGTTTCCAACGAAATCTTCAAATCTATCCAAATGTCCACTTGCAGATTCAACAAAAAGTGTTTTTCAAAACTGCTGTATCAAAAGAAAGATCCACGTCTGTTAGCTGAGTTCACACATCACAAACAAGTTTATGAGAATGCTTCTGTCTAGTTTTTATTTGAAGATATTTCCTTTCTCACCATAGACCTGAAAGCTGTCCTAATGTTCACTTCCAGATACTACAGAAAGAGCGTTTCAAAACTGCTGTAAGAAAGGGAATGTTCAACTCTGTGACTTGAATGCACACATCACAAAGAAGTTTCTGAGGATGCTGCTGTCTACTTTTTATACGTAATCCCGTTTCCAACGAAATCCTCCCAAGCTATCCAAATATCCACTTGCAGATTCCACAGAAAGACTGTTTCAAAACTGCTCTGTCAATAGAAAGGTTCAACTCTGTTAGCTGCGTGCATATATCCCAAAGAAGATTCTGAGATTGCTTCTGTCTACTTTTTATGAGAAGATATTTCCCTTTTCACCGTAGGCATCAAGGCGCTCCAAAAGTCCACTTCCAGATACTACAAAAAGTGTGTTTCAAACCTACTCTGTGAAAGGGAATATTCAACTCTGTGACTTGAATGCACATATCACAACGAAGCTTCTGAGAATGCTTCTGTCGAGATTTTCTATGAAGATATTCCCGTTTCCAACGAAATCCTGAATTCTATCCAAATATCCCCTCGCAGATTCTACAAAAAGAGTGTTTCAAAACTGCTCTGTAAAAAGAAAGGTTCAACTCTGTTACTTCAGTACACACATCACAAACAAGTTTCACAGAATGCTTCTTTCTAGCTTGTAGGGGAAGATATTCCCTTTATCACCATGGGCCTCAAACCGTCCGAAACGTCCACTTCCATATACTACAAAAAGAGCGTTTCAAACCTGCTAAATGAAAGGCAATGTTCAACTCTGTGACTTGAATGCAGACATCACAGAGCAGTTTCTGAGAATGCTTCTGTCTAGATTTTATAGGAAGATATTCCCGTTTCCAACGAAATCTTCACAGCTATCCAAATATCCACTTTCAGATTCTACAAAAAGAGTGTATCAAAAGTGCTCTGTCAAAAGGAAGCTTCTTCTCTGTTAGGTGAGTGCATACGTCATAAAGGAGTTTCTGAGAATGTTTCTGTCTAGTGGTTATGGGAAGATATTTGCTTTTTCACCGTAGGCCTCAGAGCGCTCCAAATATCCCCTTGCACATACTACAAAAAGAGTGCTTCAAAGCTGCTCTCTGAAAGGGAATGTTCAAATCTGTGAGTTGAATGCAAACATCACAAAGACGTTTCTGAGAATGCTTCTGTCTAGATTTGATAAGAAGATATTCCCGTTTCCAACGAAATCTTCAAATCTATCCAAATGTCCACTTGCAGATTCAACAAAGTGTTTTTCAAAACTGCTGTATCAAAAGAAAGATCCACCTGTGTTAGCTGAGTTCACACTTCACAAACAAGTTTATCAGAATTCTTCTGTCTAGTTTTTATTTGAAGATATATCCTTTCTCACTATAGACCTGAAAGCCCTCCTAATGTTCACTTCCAGATACTACAGAAAGAGTGTTTCAAAACTGCTGTACGAAAGGGAATGTTCATCTCTGTGACTTGAATGCACACATCACAAGGAAGTTTCTGAGGATGCTGCTGTCTACTTTTTATACGTAATCCCGTTTCCAACGAAATCCTCCAATCTATCCAAATATCCACTTGCAGATTCCACAGAAAGACTGTTTCTAAACTGCTCTGTCAGTAGAAAGGTTCAACTCTGTTAGCTGCGTGCATATATCCCAAAGAAGATTCTGAGATTGCTTCTGTCTAGTTTTTATGGGAAGATATTTCCCTTTTCACCGTAGGTGTCAAGGCGCTCCAAATGTCCACTTCCAGATACTACAAAAAGAGTGTTTCAAACCTACTCTGTGAAAGGGAATATTCAACTCTGTGACTTGAATGCAGATATCACAATGAAGTTTCTGAGAATGCTTCTGTCGAGATTTTATATGAAGATATTCCCGTTTCCAACGAAATCCTGAAATCTATCCAAATATCCCCTCGCAGATTCTACAAAAATAGTGTTTCAAAACTGCTCTGTAAAAAGAAAGGTTCAACTCTATTAGTTGAGTACACACATCACAAACAAGTTTCACAGAATGCTTCTTTCTAGCTTGTAGGGGAAGATATTCCCTTTATCACCATGGGCCTCAAACCGTCCGAAACGTCCACTTCCATATACTACAAAAAGAGGGTTTCAAACCTGCTCTATGAAAGGCAATGTTCAACTCTGTGACTTGAATGCAGACATCACAGAGCAGTTTCTGAGAATGCTTCTGTCTAGATTTTATAGGAAGATATTCCCGTTTCCAACGAAATCTTCACAGCTATCCAAATATCCACTTGCAGATTCTACAAAAAGAGTGTATCAAAACTGCTCTGTCAAAAGGAAGGTTCTTCTCTGTTAGGTGAGTGCATACGTCATAAAGGAGTTTCTGAGCATGTTTCTGTCTAGTGGTTATGGGAAGATATTTGCTTTTTCACCGTAGGCCTCAGAGCGCTCCAAATATCCACTTGCACATACTACAAAAAGAGTGCTTCAAAGCTGGTCTCTGAAACGGAATGTTCAACTCTATGAGTTGAATGCAAACATCACAAAGACGTTTCTGAGAATGCTTTCTGTCTAGATTTGATATGAAGATATTCCCGTTTCCAACGAAATCTTCAAATCTATCCAAATGTCCACTTGCAGATTCAACAAAAAGTGTTTTTCAGAACTGTTCTATCAAAAGAAAGATCCACCTCTGTTAGCTGAGTTCACACATCACAAACAAGTTTATGAGAATGCTTCTGTCTAGTTTTTATTTGAAGATATTTCCTTTCTCACCATAGACCTGAAAGCTGTCCTAATGTTCACTTCCAGATACTACAGAAAGAGTGTTTCAAAACTGCTGTACGAAAGGGAATGCTCAACTCTGTGACTTGAATGCACACATCACAAAGAAGTTTCTGAGGATGCTGCTGGCTACTTTTTATACGTAATCCCGTTTCCAACGAAATCCTCCAAGCTATCGAAATATCCACTTGCAGATTCCACAGAAAGACTGTTTCAAAACTGCTCTGTCAATAGAAAGGTTCAACTCTGTTAGCTGCGTGCATATATCCCAAAGAAGATTCTGAGATTGCTTCTGTCTAGTTTTTATGGGAAGATATTTCCCTTTTCACCGTAGGTGTCAATGTGCTCCAAATGTCCACTTCCAGACACTACAAAAAGAGTGTTTCAAACCTACTCTGTGAAAGGGAATATTCAACTCTGTGACTTGAATGCAGATATCACAAAGAAGTTTCTGAGAATGCTTCTGTCGAGATTTTATATGAAGATATTCCCGTTTCCAACGAAATCCTGAAATCTATCCAAATATCCCCTCGCAGATTCTACAAAAAGAGTGTTTCAAAAGTGCTCTGTAAAAAGAAAGGTTCAACTCTGTTAGTTGAGAACACACATCACAAACATGTTTCACAGAATGCTTCTTTCTAGCTTGTAGGGGAAGATATTCCCTTTATCACCATGGGCCTCAAACCGTCCGAAACGTCCTCTTCCATATAGTACAAAAAGAGCGTTTCAAACCTGCTCTATGAAAGGCAATGTTCAACTCTGTGACTTGAATGCAGACATCACAGAGCAGTTTCTGAGAATGCTTCTGTCTAGATGTTATAGGAAGATATTCCCGTTTCCAACGAAATCTTCACAGGTATCCAAATATCCACTTGCAGATTCTACAAAAAGAGTGTATCAAAACTGCTCTGTCAAAAGGAAGGTTCTTCTCTGTTAGGTGAGTGCATACGTCATAAAGGAATTTCTGAGAATGTTTCTGTCTAGTGGTTATGGGAATATATTTGCTTTTTCACCGTAGGCCTCAGAGCGCTCCAAATATCCACTTCCACATACTACAAAAAGAGTGCCTCAAAGCTGCTCTCTGAAACGGAATGTTCAACTCTATGAGTTGAATGCAAACGTCACAAAGACGTTTCTGAGAATGCTTCTGTCTAGATTTGAAATGAAGTTATTCCCGTTTCCAACGAAATCTTCAAATCTATCCAAATGTCCACTTGCAGATTCAACAAAAAGTGTTTTTCAGAACTGCTCTATCAAAAGAAAGATCCACCTCGGTTAGCTGAGTTCACACATCACAAAGAAGTTTATGAGAATGCTTTCTGTCTAGTTTTTATTTGAAGATATTTCCTTTCTCACTATAGACCTGAAAGCTCTCCTAAAGTTCACTTCCAGATACTACAGAAAGAGTGTTTCAAAACTGCTGTACGAAAGGGAATGTTCAACTCTGTGACTTGAATGCACACATCACAAAGAAGTTTCTGAGGATGCTGCTGTCTACTTTTTATACGTAATCCCTTTTCCAACGAAATCCTCCAAGCTATCCAAATATCCACTTGCAGATTCCACAGAAATACTGTTTCAAAACTGCTCTGTCAATAGAAAGGTTCAACTCTGTTAGCTGCGTGCATATATCCCAAAGAAGATTCTGAGATTGCTTCTGTCTAGTTTTTATGGGAAGATATTTCCCTTTTCACCGTAGGTGTCAAGGCGCTCCAAATGTCCACTTCCAGATACTACAAAAAGAGTGTTTCAAACCTACTCTCTGAAAGGGAATATTCAACTCTGTGCCTTGAATGCAGATATCACAATGAAGTTTCTGAGAATGCTTCTGTCGAGATTTTATATGAAGATATTCCCGTTTCCAACGAAATCCTGAAATCTATCCAAATATCCCCTCGCAGATTCTACAAAAAGCGTGTTTCAAAACTGCTCTGTAAAAAGAAAGGTTCAACTCTGTTAGTTGAGTACACACATCACAAACAAGTTTCACAGAATGCTTCTTTCTAGCTGGTAGGGGAAGATATTCCCTTTATCACCATTGGCCTCAAACCGTCCGAAACGTCCACTTCCATATACTACAAAAAGAGCGTTTCAAACCTGCTCTATGAAAGGCAATGTTCAACTCTGTGACTTGAATGCAGACATCACAGAGCAGTTTCTGAGAATCCTTCTGTCTAGATTTTATAGGAAGATATTCCCGTTTCCAACGAAATCTTCACAGCTATCCAAATATCCACTTGCAGATTCTACAAAAAGAGTGTATCAAAACTGCTCTGTCAAAAGGAAGGTTCTTCTCTGTTAGGTGAGTGCATACGTCATAAAGGAGTTCTGAGAATGTTTCTGTCTAGTGGTTATGGGAAGATATTTGCTTTTTCACCGTAGGCCTCAGAGCGCTCCAAATATCCACTTGCACATACTACAAAAAGTGTGCCTCAAAGCTGCTCTCTGAAACGGAATGTTCAACTCTATGAGTTGAATGCAAACATCACAAAGACGTTTCTGAAAATGCTTCTGTCTAGATTTGATATGAAGATATTCCCGTGTCCAACGAAATCTTCAAGTCTATCCAAATGTCCACTTGCAGATTCAACAAAAAGTGTTTTTCAGAACTGCTCTATCAAAAGAAAGATCCACCTCTGTTAGCTGAGTTCACACATCACAAACAACTTTATGAGAATGCTTCTGTCTAGTTTTTATTTGAAGATATATCCTTTCTCACTATATACCTGAAAGCTCTCCTAAAGTTCACTTCCAGATACTACAGAAAGAGTGTTTCAAAACTGCTGTATGAAAGGGAATATTCAACTCTGTGACTTGAATGCACACATCACAAAGAAGTTTCTGAGGATGCTGCTGTCTAATTTTTATACGTAATCCCGTTTCCAACGAAATCCTCCAAACTATCCAAATATCCACTTGCAGATTCCACAGAAAGACTGTTTCAAAACTGCTCTGTCAATAGAAAGGTTCAACTCTGTTAGCTGCGTGCATATATCCCAAAGAAGATTCTGAGATTGCTTCTGTCTAGTTTTTATGGGAAGATATTTCCCTTTTCACCGTAGGCGTCAAGGCGCTCCAAATGTCCACTTCCAGATACTACAAAAAGAGTGTTTCAAACCTACTCTGTGAAAGGGAATATTGAACTCTGTGACTTCAATGCACATATCACAAAGAAGCTTCTGAGAATGCTTCTGTCGAGATTTTGTATGAAGATATTCCCGTTTCCAACGAAATCCTGAAATGTATCCAAATTTCCCCTCGCAGATTCTACAAAAAGAGTGTTTCAAAACTGCTCTGTAAAAAGAAAGGTTCAACTCTGTTAGTTGAGTACACACATCACAAACAAGTTTCACAGAATGCTTCTTTCTAGCTTGTAGGGGAAGATATTTCCTTTATCACCATGGGCCTCAAACCGTCCGAAACGTCCACTTCCATATACTACAAAAAGAGCGTTTCAAACCTGCTCTATGAAAGGCAATGTTCAACTCTGTGACTTGAATGCAGACATCACAGAGCAGTTTCTGAGAATGCTTCTGTCTAGATTTTATAGGAAGACATTCCCGTTTCCAACGAAATCTTCACAGCTATCCAAATATCCACTTGCAGATTCTACAAAAAGAGTGTATCAAAACTGCTCTGTCAAAAGGAAGGTTCTTTTCTGTTAGGTGAGTGCATACGTCATAAAGGAGTTTCTGAGAATGTTTCTGTCTAGTGGTTATGGGAAGATATTTGCTTTTTCACCTTAGTCCTCAGAGCGCTCCAAATATCCACTTGCACATACTACAAAAAGAGTGCCTCAAAGCTGCTCTTTGAAACGGAATGTTCAACTCTATGAGTTGAATGCAAACATCACAAAGACGTTTCTGAGAATGCTTCTGTCTAGATTTGATATGAAGATATTCCCGTTTCCAAAGAAATCTTCAAATCCATCCAAATGTCCACTTGCAGATTCAACAAAAAGTGTTTTTCAGAACTGCTCTATCAAAAGAAAGATCCACCTCTTTTAGCTGAGTTCACACATCACAAACATGTTTATGAGAATGCTTCTGTCTAGTTTTTATTTGAAGATATTTCCTTTCTCACCATAGAGCTGAAAGGTGTCCTAATGTTCACTTCCAGATACTACAGAAAGAGTGTTTCAAAACTGCTGTACGAAAGGGAATGTTCAACTCTGTGACTTGAATGCACACATCACAAAGAAGTTTCTGAGGATGCTGCTGTCTACTTTTTATACGTAATCCCGTTTCCAACGAAATCCTCCAAGCTATCCAAATATCCACTTGCAGATTCCACAGAAAGACCGTTTCAAAACTGCTATGTCAATAGAAAAGTTCAACTCTGTTAGCTGTGTGCATATATCCCAAAGAAAATTCTGAGATTGCTTCTGTCTAGTTTTAATGGGAAGATATTTCCCTTTTCACCGTAGGTGTCAATGTGCTCCAAATTTCCACTTCCAGACACTACAAAAAGAGTGTTTCAAACCTACTCTGTGAAAGGGAATATTCAACTCTGTGACTTGAATGCAGATATCACAAAGAAGTTTCTGAGAATGCTTCTGTCGAGATTTTATATGAAGATATTCCCGTTTCCAACGAAATCCTGAAATGTATCCAAATATCCCCTCGCAGATTCTACAAAAAGAGTGTTTCAAAACTGCTCTGTAAAAGAAAGGTTCAACTCTGTTAGTTGAGTACAAACATCACAAACAAGTTTCACAGAATGCTTCTCTCTAGCTTGTAGGGGAATATATTCCCTTTATCACCATGGGTCTCAAACCGTCCGAAACGTCCACTTCCATATACTACAAAAAGAGCGTTTCAAACCTGCTCTAGGAAAGGCAGTGTTCAACTCTGTGACTTGAATGCAGACATCACAGAGCTGTTTCTGAGAATGCTTCTGTCTGGATTTTATAGGAAGATATTCCCGTTTCCAACGAAATCTTCACAGCTATCCAAATATCCACTTGCAGATTCTACAAAAAGAGTGTATCAAAACTCCTCTGTCAAAAGGAAGGTTCTTCTCTGTTAGTTGAGTACATACGTCATAAAGGAGTTTCTGAGAATGTTTCTGTCTAGTGGTTATGGGAAGATATTTGCTTTTTCACCTTAGGCCTCAGAGCGCTCCAAATATCCACTTGCACATACTACAAAAAGAGTGCTTCAAAGCTGCTCTCTGAAAGGGAATGTTCAACTCTATGAGTTGAATGCAAACATCCCAAAGACGTTTCTGAGAATGCTTCTGTCTAGATTTGATATGAAGATATTCCCGTTTCCAACGAAATCTTCAAATCTATCCAAATGTCCACTTGCAGATTCAACAAAAAGTGTTTTTCCGAACTGCTCTATCAAAAGAAAGATCCGCCTCTGTTAGCTGAGTTCACACATCACAAACAAGTTTATGAGAATGCTTCTGTCTAGTTTTTATTTGAAGATATTTCCTTTCTCACCATAGACCTGAAAGCTGTCCTAATGTTCACTTCCAGATACTACATAAAGAGTGTTTCAACACTGCTGTACGAAAGGGAATGTTCAACTCTGTGACTTGAATGCACACATCACAAAGAAGATTCTGAGGATGCTGCTGTCTACTTTTTATACTTAATCCCGTTTCCAACGAAATCCTCCAAGCTATCCAAATATCCACTAGCAGATTCCACAGAAAGACTGTTTCAAAACTGCTCTGTCAATAGAAAGGTTCAACTCTGTTAGCTGCGTGCATATATCCCGAAGAAGATTCTGAGATTGCTTCTGTCTAGTTTTTATGGGAAGATATTTCCCTTTTCACCGTAGGCGTCCAGGCGCTCCAAATGTCCACTTCCAGATACTACAAAAAGAGTGTTTCAAACCTACTCTGTGAAAGGGAATATTCAACTCTGTGACTTGAATGCACATATCACAAGGAAGTTTCTGAGAATGCTTCTGTCGAGATTTTATATGAAGATATTCCCGTTTCCAACGAAATGCTGAAATCTATCCAAATATCCCCTCGCAGATTCTACGAAAAGAGTGTTTCAAAACTGCTCTGTGAAAAGAAAGGTTCAACTCTGTTAGTTGAGTACACACATCACAAACAAGTTTCACAGAATGCTTCTTTCTAGCTTGTAGGGGAAGATATTCCCTTTATCACCATGGGCCTCAAACCGTCCGAAACGTCCACTTCCATATACTACAAAAAGAGCGTTTCAAACCTGCTCTATGAAAGGCAATGTTCAACTCTGTGACTTGAATGCAGACATCACAGAGCATTTTCTGAGAATGCTTCTGTCTAGATTTTATAGGAAGATATTCCCGTTTCCAACGAAATCTTCACAGCTATCCAAATATCCACTTGCAGATTCTACAAAAAGAGTGTATCAAAACTGCTCTGTCAAAAGGAAGGTTCTTCTCTGTTAGGTGAGAGCATACGTCATAAAGGAGTTTCTGAGAATGTTTCTGTCTAGTGGTTATGGGAAGATATTTGCTTTTTCCCCGTAGGCCTCAGAGCGCTCCAAATATCCACTTGCACATACTACAAAAAGAGTGCTTCAAAGCTGCTCTCTGAAAGGGAATGTTCAACTCTATGAGTTGAATGCAAACATCACAAAGACGTTTCTGAGAATGCTTCTGTCTAGATTTGATATGAAGATATTCCCGTTTCCAACGAAATCTTCAAATCTATCCAAATGTCCACTTGCAGATTCAACAAAAAGTGTTTTTCAAAACTGCTGTATCAAAAGAAAGATCCACCTCTGTTAGCTGAGTTCACACATCACAAACAAGTTTATGAGAATCCTTCTGTCTAGTTTTTATTTGAAGATATTTCCTTTCTCACCATAGACCTGAAAGCTGTCCTATTGTTCACTTCCAGATACTACAGAAAGAGTGTTTCAAAACTGCTGTATGAAAGGGAATGTTCAACTCTGTGACTTGAATGCACACATCACAAAGAAGTTTCTGAGGATGCTGCTGTCTACTTTTTATACGTAATCCCGTTTCCAACGAAATCCTCCAAGCTATCCAAATATCCACTTGCAGATTCCACAGAAAGACTGTTTCAAAACTGCTCTGTCAATAGAAAAGTTCAACTCTGTTAGCTGCGTGCATATATCCCAAGGAAGATTCTGAGATTGCTTCTCTCTAGTTTTTATGGGAAGATATTTCCCTTTTCACCGTAGGTGTCAAGGCGCTCCAAATGTCCACTTCCAGATACTACAAAAAGAGTGTTTCAAACCTACTCTGTGAAAGGGAATATTCAACTGTGTGACTTGAATGCACATATCACAAAGAAGTTTCTGAGAATGCTTCTGTCGAGATTTTATATGAAGATATACCCGTTTCCAACGAAATCCTGAAATCTATCCAAATATCCCCTCGCAGATTCTACAAAAAGAGTGTTTCAAAGCTGCTCTGTGAAAAGAAAGGTTCAACTCTGTTAGTTGAGTACACACATCACAAACAAGTTTCACAGAATGCTTCTTTCTAGCTTGTAGGGGAAGATATTCCCTTTATCACCATGGTCCTCAAACCGTCCGAAACGTCCACTTCCATATACTACAAAAAGAGCGTTTCAAACCTGCTCTAGGAAAGGCAATGTTCAACTCTGTGACTTGAATGCAGACATAAGAGAGCAGTTTCTGAGAATGCTTCTGTCTAGATTTTATAGGAAGATATTCCCGTTTCCAACGAAATCTTCACAGCTATCCAAATATCCACTTGCAGATTCTACAAAAAGAGTGTATAAAAACTGCTCTGTCAAAAGGAAGGTTCTTTTCTGTTAGGTGAGTGCATACGTCATAAAGGAGTTTCTGAGAATGTTTCTGTCTAGTGGTTATGGGAAGATATTTGCTTTTTCACCTTAGGCCTCAGAGCGCTCCAAATATCCCCTTGCACATACTACAAAAAGAGTGCTTCAAAGCTGCTCTCTGAAAGGGAATGTTCAACTCTATGAGTTGAATGCAAACGTCACAAAGACGTTTCTGAGAATGCTTCTGTCTAGATTTGATATGAAGATATTCCCGTTTCCAACGAAATCTTCAAATCTATCCAAATGTCCACTTGCAGATTCAACAAAACGTGTTTTTCAGAACTGCTCTATCAAAAGAAAGATCCACGTCTCTTAGCTGAGTTCACACATCACAAACAAGTTTATGAGAATGCTTCTGTCTAGTTTTTATTTGAAGATATTTCCTTTCTCACCATAGACCTGAAAGCTGTCCTAATGTTCAATTCCAGATACTACAGAAAGAGTGTTTCAAAACTACTGTACGAAAGGGAATGTTCAACTCTGTGACTTGAATGCACACATCACAAAGAAGTTTCTGAGGATGCTGCTGTCTACTTTTTATGCGTAATCCCGTTTCCAACGAAATCCTCCAAGCTATCCAAATATCCACTTTCAGATTCCACAGAAAGACTGTTTCAAAACTGCTCTGTCAATAGAAAGGTTCAACTCTGTTAGCTGCGTGCATATATCCCAAAGAAGATTCTGAGATTGCTTCTGTCTACTTTTTATGAGAAGATATTTCCCTTTTCACTGTAGGCGTCAAGGCGCTCCAAATGTCCACTTCCAGATACTACAAAAAGAGTGTTTCAAACCTACTCTGTGAAAGGGAATATTCAACTCTGTGACTTGAATGCACATATCACAAAGAAGTTTCTGAGAATGCTTCTGTCGAGTATTTTGTATGAAGATATTCCCGTTTCCAACGAAATCCTGAAATCTATCCAAATTTCCCCTCGCAGATTCTACAAAAAGAGTGTTTCAAAACTGCTCTGTGAAAAGAAAGGTTCAACTCTGTTAGTTGAGTACACACATCACAAACAAGTTTCACAGAATGCTTCTTTCTAGCTTGTAGGGGAAGATATTCCCTTTATCACCATGGGCCTCAAACCGTCCGATAAGTCCACTTCCATATACTACAATAAGAGCGTTTCAAACCTGCTCTATGAAAGGCAATGTTCAACTCTGTGACTTGAATGCAGACATCACAGAGCAGTTTCTGAGAATGCTTCTGTCTAGATTTTATAGGAAGATATTCCCGTTTCCAACGAAATCTTCACAGCTATCCAAATATCCACTTGCAGATTCTACAAAAAGAGTGTATCAAAACTGCTCTGTCAAAAGGAAGGTTCTTCTCTGTTAGGTGAGTGCATACGTCATAAAGCAGTTTCTGAGAATGTTTCTGTCTAGTGGTTATGGGAAGATATTTGCTTTTTCACCTTAGGCCTCAGAGCGCTCCAAATATCCCCTTGCACATACTACAAAAAGAGTGCTTCAAAGCTGCTCTCTGAAAGGGAATGTTCAACTCTATGAGTTGAATGCAAACATCACAAAGACATTTCTGAGAATGCTTCTGTCTAGATTTGATATGAAGCATATTCCCGTTTCCAACGAAATCTTCAAATCTATCCAAATGTCCACTTGCAGATTCAACAAAAAGTGTTTTTCAGAACTGCTCTATCAAAAGAAAGATCCACCTCTGTTAGATGAGTTCACACATCACAAACAAGTTTATGAGAATGCTTCTGTCTAGTTTTTATTTGAAGATATTTCCTTTCTCACCATAGAGCTGAAATCTGTCCTAATGTTCACTTCCAGATACTACAGAAAGAGTGTTTCAAAACTGCTGTACGAAAGGGAATGTTCAACTCTGTGACTTGAATGCACACATCACAAAGAAGTTTCTGAGGATGCTGCTGTCTACTTTTTATACGTAATCCCGTTTCCAACGAAATCCTCCAATCTATCCAAATATCCACTTGCAGATTCCACAGAAAGACTGTTTCAAATCTGCTCTGTCAACAGAAAGATTCAACTCTGTTAGCTGCGTGCATATATCCCAAAGAAGATTCTGAGATTGCTTCTGTCTGGTTTTTATGGGAAGATATTTCCCTTTTCACCGTAGGCGTCAAGGTGCTCGATATGTCCACTTCCAGATACCACAAAGAGTGTTTCAAACCTACTCTGTGAAAGGGAATATTCAACTCTGTGACTTGAATGCAGATATCACAAAGAAGTTTCTGTGAATGCTTCTGTCGAGATTTTATATGAAGATATTCCCGTTTCCAACGAAATGGTGAAATCTATCCAAATATCCCCTCGCAGATTCTACAAAAAGAGTGTTTCAAAACTGCTCTGTGAAAAGAAAGGTTCAACTCTGTTAGTTGAGTACACACATCACAAACAAGTTTCACAGAATGCTTCTTTCTAGCTTGTAGGGGAAGATATTCCCTTTATCACCATGGGCCTCAAACCGTCCGAAACGTCCACATCCATATACTACAAAAAGAGCGTTTCAAACCTGCTCTATGAAAGGCAATGTTCAACTCTGTGACTTGAATGCAGACATCACAGAGCAGTTTCTGAGAATGCTTCTGTCTAGATTTTATAGGAAGATATTCCCGTTTCCAACGAGATCTTCACAGCTATCCAAATATCCGCTTGCAGATTCTACAAAAAGAGTGTATCAAAACTGCTCTGTCAAAAGGAAGGTTCTTCTCTGTTAGTTGAGTACATACGTCATAAAGGAGTTTCTGAGAATGTTTCTGTCTAGTGGTTATGGGAAGATATTTGCTTTTTCACCGTAGGCCTCAGAGCGCTCCAAATATCCACTTGCACATACTACAAAAAGAGTGCCTCAAGGCTGCTCTCTGAAACGGAATGTTCAACTCTATGAGTTGAATGCAAACATCGCAAAGACGTTTCTGAGAATGCTTCTGCCTAGATTTGATATGAAGATATTCCCGTTTCCAACGAAATCTTCAAATCTATCCAAATGTCCACTTGCAGATTCAACAAAAAGTGTTTTTCAGAACTGCTCTATCAAAAGAAAGATCCATCTCTGTTAGCTGAGTTCACACATCACAAACAAGTTTATGAGAATGCTTCTGTCTAGTTTTTATTTGAAGATATTTCCTTTCTCACCATAGACCTGAAAGCTGTCCTAATGTTCACTCCCAGATACTACAGAAAGAGTGCTTCAAAACTGCTGTACGAAAGGGAATGTTCAACTCTGTGACTTGAATGCACACATCACAAAGAAGTTTCTGAGGATGGTGCTGTCTACTTTTTATACGTAATCCCGTTTCCAACGATATCCTCCAATCTATCCAAATATCCACTTGCAGATTCCACAGAAAGACTGTTTCAAATCTGCTCAGTCAATAGAAAGGTTCAACTCTGTTAGCTGCGTGCATATATCCCAAAGAAGATTCTGAGATTGCTTCTGTCTAGTTTTTATGGGAAGATATTTCCCTTTTCACCTTAGGTGTCAAGGCGCTCCAAATGTCCACTTCCAGATACTACAAAAAGAGTGATTCAAACCTACTCTGTGAAAGGGAATATTCAACTCTGTGACTTGAATGCACATATCACAAGGAAGTTTCTGAGAATGCTTCTGTCGAGATTTTCTATGAAGATATTCCCGTTTCCAACGAAATCCTGAAATGTATCCAAATATCCCCTCGCAGATTCTACAAAAAGAGTGTTTCAAAACTGCTCTGTAAAAAGAAAGGTTCAACTCTGTTAGTTGAGTACATACATCACAAACAAGTTTCACAGAATGCTTCTTTCTAGCTTGTAGGAGAATATATTCCCTTTATCACCATGGGTCTCAAACCGTCCGAAACGTCCACTTCCATATACTACAAAAAGAGCGTTTCAAACCTGCTCTATGAAAGGCAATGTTCAACTCTGTGACTTGAATGCAGACATCACAGAGCTGTTTCTGAGAATGCTTCTGTCTAGGTTTTATAGGAAGATATTCCCGTTTCCAGCGAAATCTTCACAGCTATCCAAATATCCACTTGCAGATTCTACAAAAAGAGTGTATCAAAACTGCTCTGTCAAAAGGAAAGTTCTTCTCTGCTAGTTGAGTACATACGTCATAAAGAATTTTCTGAGAATGTTTCTGTCTAGTGGTTATGGGAAGATATTTGCTTTTTTCCCCGTAGGCCTCAGGGCGCTCCAAATGTCCACTTGCACATGCTACAAAAAGAGTGCTTCAAAGCTGCTCTCTGAAAGGGAATGTTCAACTCTATGAGTTGAATGCAAACATCACAAAGACGTTTCTGAGAATGCTTCTGTCTAGATTTGATATGAAGATATTCCCGTTTCCAACGAAATCTTCAAATCTATCCAAATGTCCACTTGCAGATTCAACAAAAAGTGTTTTTCAGAACTGCTCTATCAAAAGAAAGATCCACCTCTGTTAGCTGAGTTCACACATCACAAACAAGTTTATGAGAGTGCTTCTGTCTAGTTTTTATTTGAAGATATTTCCTTTCTCACCATAGAGCTGAAAGCTGTCCTAATGTTCACTTCCAGATGCTACAGAAAGAGTGTTTCAAAACTGCTGTACGAAAGGGAATGTTCAACTCTGTGACTTGAATGCACACATCACAAAGAAGTTTCTGAGGATGCTGCTGTCTACTTTTTATACGTAATCCCGTTTCCAACGAAATCCTCCAAGCTATCCAAATATCCACTTGCAGATTCCACAGAAAGACTGTTTCAAAACTGCTCTGTCAATAGAAAGGTTCAACTCTGTTGGCTGCGTGCATATATCCCAAAGAAGATTCTGAGATTGCTTCTGTCTAGTTTTTATGGGAAGATATTTCCCTTTTCACCGTAGGTGTCAAAGCGCTCCAAATGTCCACTTCCAGATACTACAAAAAGAGTGTTTCAAACCTACTCTGTGAAAGGGAATATTCAACTCTGTGACTTGAATGCACATATCACAAAGAAGTTTCTGAGAATGCTTCTGTCGAGATTTTATATGAAGATATTCCCGTTTCCAACGAAATGCTGAAATGTATCCAAATATCCCCTCGCAGATTCTACAAAAAGAGTGTTTCAAAACTGCTCTGTAAAAAGAAAGGTTCAACTCTGTTAGATGAGTACACACATCACAAACAAGTTTCACAGAATGCTTCTTTCTAGCTTGTAGGGGAAGATATTCCCTTTATCACCATGGGCCTCAAACCGTCCGAAAAGTCCACTTCCATATACTACAAAAAGAGCGTTTCAAACCTGCTCTATGAAAGGCAATGTTAAACTCTGTGACTTGAATGCAGACATCACAGAGCAGTTTCTGAGAATGCTTCTGTCTAGATTTTATAGGAAGATATTCCCCTTTCCAACGAAATCTTCACAGCTATCCAAATATCCACTTGCAGATTCTACAAAAAGAGTGTATCAAAACTGCTCTGTCAAAAGGAAGGTTCTTCTCTGTTAGGTGAGTGCATACGTCATAAAGGAGTTTCTGAGAATGTTTCTGTCTAGTGGTTATGGGAAGATATTTGCTTTTTCACCTTAGGCCTCAGAGCGCTCCTAATATCCACTTGCACATACTACAAAAAGAGTGCTTCAAAGCTGCTCTCTGAAAGGGAATGTTCAACTCTATGAGTTGAATGCAAACATCACAAAGACGTTTCTGAGAATGCTTCTGTCTAGATTTGATATGAAGATATTCCCGTTTCCAACGAAATCTTCAAATCTATCCAAATGTCCACTTGCAGACTCAACAAAAAGTGTTTTTCAGAACTGCTCTATCAAAAGAAAGATCCACCTCTGTTAGCTGAGTTCACACATCACAAACAAGTTTATGAGAATGCTTCTGTCTAGTTTTTATTTGAAGATATTTCCTTTCTCACCATAGACCTGAAAGCTGTCCTAATGTTCACTTCTAGATACTACAGAAAGAGTGTTTCAATACTGCTGTACGAAAGGGAATGTTCAACTCTGTGACTTGAATGCACACATCACAAAGAAGTTTCTGAGGATGCTGCTGTCTACTTTTTATACGTAATCCCGTTTCCAAAGAAATCCTCCAAGCTATCCAAATATCCACTTGCAGATTCCACAGAAGGACTGTTTCTAAACTGCTCTGTCAATAGAAAGGTTCAACTCTGTTAGCTGCGTGCATATATCCCAAAGAAGATTCTGAGATTGCTTCTGTCTAGTTTTTATGGGAAGATATTTCCCTTTTCACCATAGGTGTCAAGGCGCTCCAAATGTCCACTTCCAGATACTACAAAAAGAGTGTTTCAAACCTACTCTGTGAAAGGGAATATTCAACTCTGTGACTTGAATGCACATATCACAAAGAAGTTTCTGAGAATGCTTCCGTCGAGATTTTATATGAAGATATTCCCGTTTCCAACGAAATCCTGAAATCTATCCAAATATCCCCTCGCAGATTCTACAAAAAGAGTGTTTCAAAACTGCTCTGTAAAAAGAAAGGTTCAACTCTGTTAGTTGAGTACACACATCACAAACAAGTTTCACAGAATGCTTCTTTCTAGCTTGTAGGGAAAGATATTCCCTTTATCACCATGGGCCTCCAACCGTCCGAAACATCCACTTCCATATACTACAAAAAGAGCGTTTCAAACCTGCTCTATGAAAGGCAATGTTCAACTCTGTGACTTGAATGCAGACATCACAGAGCAGTTTCTGAGAATGCTTCTGTCTAGATTTTATAGGAAGATATTCCCGTTTCCAACGAAATCTTCGCAGCTATCCAAATATCCACTTGCAGATTCTACAAAAAGAGTGTATCAAAACTGCTCTGTCAAAAGGAAGGTTCTTTTCTGTTAGGTGAGTGCATACGTCATAAAGGAGTTTCTGAGAATGTTTCTGTCTAGTGGTTATGGGAAGATATTTGCTTTTTCCCCGTAGGCCTCAGAGCGCTCCAAATGTCCACTTGCACATGCTACAAAAAGAGTGCTTCAAAGCTACTCTCTGGAAGGGAATGTTCAACTCTATGAGTTGAATGCAAACATCACAAAGACGTTTCTGAGAATGCTTCTGTCTAGATTTGATATGAAGATATTCCCGTTTCCAACGAAATCTTCATATCTATCCAAATGTCCACTTGCAGATTCAACAAAAAGTGTTTTTCAAAACTGCTGTATCAAAAGAAAGATCCACGTCTGTTAGCTGATGCTCTATCAAAAGAATGATCCACCTCTGTTAGCTGAGTTCACACATCACAAACAAGTTTATGAAAATGCTTCTGTCTAGTTTATATTTGAAGATATTTCCTTTCTCACCATAGAGCTGAAAGCTGTCCTAATGTTCACTTCCAGATACTACAGAAAGAGTGTTTCAAAACTGCTGTACGAAAGGGAATGTTCAACTCTGTGACTTGAATGCACACATCACAAAGAAGTTTCTGAGGATGCTGCTGTCTACTTTTTATACGTAATCCCGTTTCCAATGAAATCCTCCAACTATCCAAATATCCACTTGCAGATTCCACAGAAAGACTGTTTCAAAACTGCTCTGTCAATAGAAAGGTTCAACTCTGTTAGCTGCGTGCATATATCCCAAAGAAGATTCTGAGATTGCTTCTGTCTAGTTTTTATGGGAAGATATTTCCCTTTTCACCGTAGCGGTCAAGGCGCTCCAAATGTCCACTTCCAGATACTACAAAAAGAGTGTTTCAAACCTACTCTGTGAAAGGGAATATTCAACTCTGTGACTTGAATGCAGATATCACAAAGAAGTTTCTGAGAATGCTTCTGTCGAGATTTTATATGAAGATATTCCCGTTTCCAACGAAATCCTGAAATCTATCCAAATATCCCCTCGCAGATTCTACAAAAAGAGTGTTTCAAAACTGCTCTGTAAAAAGATAGGTTCAACTCTGTTAGTTGAGTACACACATCACAAACAAGTTTCACAGAATGCTTCTTTCTAGCTTGTAGGGGAAGATATTCCCTTTATCACCATGGGCCTCAAACCGTCCGAAACGTCCACTTCCATATACTACAAAAAGAGCGTTTCAAACCTGCTCTAGGAAAGGCAATGTTCAACTCTGTGACTTGAATGCAGTCATCACAGAGCAGTTTCTGAGAATGCTTCTGTCTAGATTTTATAGGAAGATATTCCCGTTTCCAACGAAATCTTCACAGGTATCCAAATATCCACTTGCAGATTCTACAAAAAGAGTGTTTCAAAACTGCTCTGTCAAAAGGAAGGTTCTTCTCTGTTAGGTGAGTGCATACGTCATAAAGGAGTTTCTGAGAATGTTTCTGTCTAGTGGTTATGGGAAGATATTTGCTTTTTCACCGTAGGCCTCAGAGCGCTCCAAATATCCGCTTGCACATACTACAAAAAGAGTGCTTCAAAGCTGCTCTCTGAAACGGAATGTTCAACTCTATGAGTTGAATGCAAACATCACAAAGACGTTTCTGAGAATGCTTCCGTCTAGATTTGATATGAAGATATTCCCGTTTCCAACGACATCTTCAAATCTATCCAAATGTCCACTTGCAGATTCAACAAAAAGTGTTTTTCAGAACTGCTCTATCAAAAGAAAGATCCACGTGTGTTAGCTGAGTTCACACATCACAAACAAGTTTATGAGAATGCTTCTGTTTAGTTTTTATTTGAAGATATTTCCTTTCTCACCATAGAGCTGAAAGCTGTCCTAATGTTCACTTCCAGATACTACAGAAAGAGTGTTTCAAAACTGCTGTACGAAAGGGAATGTTCAACTCTGTGACTTGAATGCACACATCACAAAGAAGTTTCTGAGGATGCTGCTGTCTACTTTTTATACGTAATCCCGTTTCCAACGAAATCCTCCAAGCTATCCAAATATCCACTTGCAGATTCCACAGAAAGACTGTTTCAAAACTGCTCTGTCAATAGAAAGGTTCATCTCTGTTAGCGGCGTGCATAAATCCCAAAGAAGATTCTGAGATTGCTTCTGTCTAGTTTTTATGGGAAGATATTTCCCTTTTCACCGTAGGCGTCCAGGCGCTCCAAATGTCCACTTCCAGATACTACAAAAAGAGTGTTTCAAACCTACTCTGTGAAAGGGAATATTCAACTCTGTGACTCGAATGCACATATCACAAGGAAGTTTCTGAGAATGCTTCTGTCGAGATTTTGTATGAAGATATTCCCGTTTCCAACGAAATCCTGAAATCTATCCAAATTTCCCCTCGCAGATTCTACAAAAAGAGTGTTTCAAAACTGCTCTGTGAAAAGAAAGGTTCAACTGCTGTTAGTTGAGTACACACATCACAAACAAGTTTCACAGAATGCTTCTTTCTAGCTTGTAGGGTAAGATATTCCCTTTATGACCATGGGCCTCAAACCGTCCGAAACGTCCACTTTTATATACTACAAAAAGAGCGTTTCAAACCTGCTCTATGAAAGGCAATGTTCAACTCTGTGACTTGAATGCAGACATCACAGAGCAGTTTCTGAGAATGCTTCTGTCTAGATTTTATAGGAAGATATTCCCGTTTCCAACGAAATCTTCACAGCTATCCAAATATCCACTTGCAGATTCTACAAAAAGAGTGTATCAAAACTGCTCTGTCAAAAGGAAAGTTCTTCTCTGTTAGGTGAGTGCATACGTCATAAAGGAGTTTCTGAGAATGTTTCTGTCTAGTGGTTATGGGAAGATATTTGCTTTTTCACCGTAGGCCTCAGAGCGCTCCAAATATCCACTTGCACATACTACAAAAAGAGTGCCTCAAAGCTGCTCTCTGAAACGGAATGTTCAACTCTATGAGTTGAATGCAAACATCACAAAGACGTTTCTGAGAATGCTTCTGTCTAGATTTGATATGAAGATATTCCCGTTTCCAACGAAATCTTCAAATCTATCCAAATGTCCACTTGCAGATTCAACAAAAAGTGTTTTTCAGAACTTCTCTATCAAAAGAAAGATCCACCTCTGTTAGCTGAGTTCACACATCACAAACAAGTTTATGAGAATGCTTCTGTCTAGTTTTTATTTGAAGATATTTCCTTTCTCACCATAGACCTGAAAGCTGTCCTAATGATCACTTCCAGATACTACAGAAAGAGTGTTTCAAAACTGCTGTACGAAAGGGAATGTTCAACTCTGTGACTTGAATGCACACATCACAAAGAAGTTTCTGAGGATGCTGCTGTCTACTTTTTCTACGTAATCCCGTTTCCAACGAAATCCTCCAAGCTATCCAAATATCCACTTGCAGATTCCACAGAAAGACTGTTTCAAAACTGCTCTGTCAATAGAAAGGTTCAACTCTGTTAGCTGCGTGCATATATCCCAAAGAAGATTCTGAGATTGCTTCTGTCTACTTTTTATGAGAAGATATTTCCCTTTTCACCGTAGGCGTCAAGGCTCTCCAAATGTCCACTTCCAGATACTACAAAAAGAGTGTTTCAAACCTACTCTGTGAAAGGGAATATTGAACTCTGTGACTTGAATGCACATATCACAAAGAAGCTTCTGAGAATGCTTCTGTCGAGATTTTATATGAAGATATTCCCGTTTCCAACGAAATCCTGAAATCTATCCAAATATCCCCTCGCAGATTCTACAAAAAGAGTGTTTCAAAACTGCTCTGTAAAAAGAAAGGTTCAACTCTATTAGTTGAGTACACACATCACAAACAAGTTTCACAGAATGCTTCTTTCTAGCTTGTAGGGGAAGATATTCCCTTTATCACCATGGGCCTCAAACCGTCCGAAACTTCCACTTCCATATACTACAAAAAGAGCGTTTCAAACCTGCTCTAGGAAAGGCAATGTTCAACTCTGTGACTTGAATGCAGACATCACATAGCAGTTTCTGAGAATGCTTCTGTCTAGATTTTATAGGAAGATATTCCCGTTTCCAACGAAATCTTCACAGCTATCCAAATATCCACTTGCAGATTCTACAAAAAGAGTGTATCAAAACTGCTCTGTCAAAAGGAAGGTTCTTCTCTGTTAGTTGAGTACATACGTCATAAAGGAGTTTGTGAGAATGTTTCTGTCTAGTGGTTATGGGAAGATATTTGCTTTTTCACCGAAGGCCTCAGAGCGCTCCAAATGTCCACTTGCACATACTACAAAATGAGTGCCTCAAAGCTGCTCTCTGAAACGGAATGTTCAACTCTATGAGTTGAATGCAAACATCACAAAGACGTTTCCGAGAATGCTTCTGTCTAGATTTGATATGAAGATATTCCCGTTTCCAACGTAATCTTCAAATCTATCCAAATGTCCCCTTGCAGATTCAACAAAGTGTTTTTCAAAACTGCTGTACCAAAGAAAGATCCACCTCTGTTAGCTGAGTTCACACTTCACAAACAAGTTTATCAGAATGCTTCTGTCTAGTTTTTATTTGAAGATATTTCCTTTCTCACCATAGACCTGAAAGCTGTCCTAATGTTCACTTCCAGTTACTACAGAAAGAGTGTTTGAAAACTGCTGTACGAAAGGGAATGCTCAACTCTGTGACTTGAATGCACACATCACAAAGAAGTTTCTGAGGATGCTGCTGTCTACTTTTTATACTTAATCCCGTTTCCAACGAAATCCTCCAAGCTATCCAAATATCCACTTGCAGATTCCACAGAAAGACTGTTTCAAAACTGCTCTGTCAATAGAAAGGTTCAACTCTGTTAGCTGCGTGCATATATCCCAAAGAAGATTCTGAGATTGCTTCTGTCTAGTTTTTATGGGAAGATATTTCCCTTTTCACCGTAGGGCGTCAAGGCGCTCCAAATGTCCACTTCCAGATACTACAAAAAGAGTGTTTCAAACCTACTCTGTGAAAGGGAATATTCAACTCTGTGACTTTAATGCACATATCACAAAGAAGTTTCTGAGAATGCTTCTGTCGAGATTTTCTATGAAGATATTCCCGTTTCCAACGAAATCCTGAAATGTATCCAAATATCCCCTCGCAGATTCTACAGAAAGAGTGTTTCAAAACTGCTCTGTAAAAAGAAAGGTTCAACTCTGTTACTTGAGTACACACATCACAAACAAGTTTCACAGAATGCTTCTTTCTAGCTTGTAGGGGAAGATATTCCCTTTATCACCGTGGGCCTCAAACCGTCCGAAACGTCCACTTCCATATACTACAAAAAGAGCGTTTCAAACCTGCTCTAGGAAAGGCAATGTTCAACTCTGTGACTTGAATGCAGACATCACAGAGCAGTTTCTGAGAATGCTTCTGTCTAGAATTTATAGGAAGATATTCCCGTTTCCAACGAAATCTTCACAGCTATCCAAATATCCACTTTCAGATTCTACAAAAAGAGTGTATCAAAAGTGCTCTGTCAAAAGGAAGGTTCTTCTCTGTTAGGTGAGTGCATACGTCATAAAGGAGTTTCTGAGAATGTTTCTGTCTAGTGGTTATGGGAAGATATTTGCTTTTTCACCTTAGGCCTCAGAGCGCTCCATATATCCCCTTGCACATACTACAAAAAGAATGCTTCAAAGCTGCTCTCTGAAAGGGAATGTTCAACTCTATGATTTGAATGCAAACATCACAAAGACGTTTCTGAGAATGCTTCTGTCTAGATTTGATATGAAGATCTTCCCGTTTCCAACGAAATCTTCAAATCTATCCAAATGTCCACTTGCAGATTCAACAGAAAGTGTTTTTCAGAACTGCTCTATCAAAAGAAAGATCCACCTCTGTTAGCTGAGTTCAGACATCACAAACAAGTTTATGAGAATGCTTCTGTCTAGTTTTTATTTGAAGATATTTCCTTTCTCACCATAGACCTGAAAGCTGTCCTAATGTTCACTTCCAGATACTACAGAAAGAGTGTTTCAAAACTGCTGCACGAAAGGGAATGTTCAACTCTGTGACTTGAATGCACACCTCACAAAGAAGTTTCTGAGGATGCTGCTGTCTACTTTTTATACGTACTCCCGTTTCCAACGAAATCCTCCAAGCTATCCAAATATCCACTTGCAGATTCCACAGAAAGACTGTTTCAAAACTGCTCTGTCAATAGAAAGGTTCAACTCTGTTAGCTGCGTGCATATATCCCAAAGAAGATTCTGAGATTGCTTCTGTCTACTTTTTATGGGAAGATATTTCCCTTTTCACCGTAGGCGTCAAGGCGCTCCAAATGTCCACTTCCAGATACTACAAAAAGAGTGTTTCAAACCTACTCTGTGAAAGGGAATATTCAACTCTGTGACTAGAATGCGCATATCACAATGAAGTTTCTGAGAATGCTTCTGTCGAGATTTTATATGAAGATATTCCCGTTTCCAACGAAATCCTGAAATCTATCCAAATATCCCCTCGCAGATTCTACAAAAAGAGTGTTTCAAAACTGCTCTGTGAAAAGAAAGGTTCAACTCTGTTAGTTGAGTACACACATCACAAACAAGTTTCACAGAATGCTTCTTTCTAGCTTGTAGGGGAAGATATTCCCTTTATCACCATGGGGCTCCAACCGTCCGAAACATCCACTTCCATATACTACAAAAAGAGCGTTTCAAACCTGCTCTATGAAAGGCAATGTTCAACTCTGTGACTTGAATGCAGACATCACAGAGCAGTTTCTGAGAATGCTTCTGTCTAGATTTTATAGGAAGTTATTCCCGTTTCCAACGAAATCTTCACAGGTATCCAAATATCCACTTGCAGATTCTACAAAAAGAGTGTATCAAAACTGCTCTGTCAAAAGGAAGGTTCTTCTCTGTTAGGTGAGTGCATACGTCATAAAGGAGTTTCTGAGAATGTTTCTGTCTAGTGGTTATGGGAAGATATTTGCTTTTTCACCGTAGGCCTCAGAGCGCTCCAAATATCCACTTGCACATACTACAAAAAGAGTGCTTCAAAGCTGCTCTCTGAAACGGAATGTTTAACTCTATGAGTTGAATGCAAACATCACAAAGACGTTTCTGAGAATGCTTCTGTCTAGATTTGATATGAAGATATTCCCGATTCCAAAGAAATCTTCAAATCTATCCAAATGTCCACTTGCAGATTCAACAAAAAGTGTTTTTCAGAACTGCTCTATCAAAAGAAAGATCCACGGCTCTTAGCTGAGTTCACACATCACGAACAAGTTTATGAGAATGCTTCTGTCTAGTTTTTATTTGAAGATATTTCCTTTCTCACCATAGACCTGAAACGCTGTCCTAATGTTCACTTCCAGATACTACAGAAAGAGTGTTTCAAAACTGCTGTACGAAAGGGAATGTTCAACTCTGTGACTTGAATGCACACATCACAAGGAAGTTTCTCAGGATGCTGCTGTCTACTTTTTATACGTAATCCCGTTTCCAACGAAATCCTCCAAGCTATCCAAATATCCACTTGCAGATTCCACAGAAAGACTGTTTCAAAACTGCTCTGTCAATAGAAAGGTTCAACTCTGTTAGCTGCGTGCATATATCCCAAAGAAGATTCTGAGATTGCTTATCTGTCTACTTTTTATGAGAAGATATTTTCCTTTTCACCGTAGGCGTCAGGGCGCTCCAAATGTCCACTTCCAGATACTACAAAAAGAGTGTTTCAAACCTACTCTGTGAACGGGAATATTCAACTCTGTGACTTGAATGCACATATCACAAAGAAGCTTCTGAGAATGCTTCTGTCGAGATTTTATATGAAGATATTCCCGTTTCGAACGAAATCCTGAAATCTATCCAAATATCCCCTCGCAGATTCTACAAAAAGAGTGTTTCAAAACTGCTCTGTAAAAAGAAAGGTTCAACTCTGTTAGTTGAGTACACACATCACAAAAAAGTTTCACAGAATGCTTCTTTCTAGCTTGTAGGGGAAGATATTCCCTTTATCACCATGGGCCTCAAACCGTCCGAAAAGTCCACTTCCATATACTACGAAAAGAGCATTTCAAACCTGCTCTATGAAAGGCAATGTTCAACTCTGTGACTTGAATGCAGACATCACAGAGCAGTTTCTGAGAATGCTTCTGTCTAGATTTTATAGGAAGATATTCCCGTTTCCAACGAAATCTTCACAGCTATCCAAATATCCACTTGCAGTTTCTACAAAAAGAGTGTATCAAAACTGCTCTCTCAAAAGGAAGGTTCTTCTCTGTTAGTTGAGTACATACGTCATAAAGGAGTTTCTGAGAAAGTTTCTGTCTAGTGGTTATGGGAAGATATTTTCTTTTTCACCGTAGGCCTCAGAGCGCTCCAAATATCCACTTGCACATACTACAAAAAGAGTGTTTCAAAGCTGCTCTCTGAAAGGGAATGTTCAACTCTATGAGTTGAATGCAAACATGACAAAGACGTTTCTGAGAATGCTTCTCTCTAGATTTGATATGAAGATATTCCCATTTCCAAAGAAATCTTCAAATCTATCCAAATGTCCACTTGCAGATTCAACAAAAAGTGTTTTTCAGAACTGCTCTATCAAAAGAAAGATCCACGTCTCTTAGCTGAGTTCACACATCACAAACAAGTTTATGAGAATGCTTCTGTGTAGTTTTTATTTGAAGATATTTCCTTTCTCACCATAGACCTGAATGCTGTCCTAATGTTCACTTCCAGACACTACAGAAAGAGTTTTTCAAAACTGCTGTACGAAAGGGAATGTTCAACTCTGTGACTTGAATGCACACATCACAAAGAAGTTTCTGAGGATGCTGCTGTCTACTTTTTATAGGTAATCCCGTTTCCAACGAAATCCTCCAAGCTATCCAAATATCCACTTGCAGATTCCACAGAAAGACTGTTACAAAACTGCTCTGTCAATAGAAAGGTTCAACTCTCTTAGCTGCGTGCATATATCCCAAAGAAGATTCTGAGATTGCTTCTGTCTAGTTTTTATGGGAAGATATTTCCCTTTTCACCGTAGTTGTCAATGTGCTCCAAATGTCCACTTCCAGACACTACAAAAAGAGTGTTTCAAACCTACTCTGTGAAAGGGAATATTCAACTCTGTGACTTGAATGCAGATATCACAAAGAAGTTTCTGAGAATGCTTCTGTCGAGATTTTATATGAAGATATTCCCGTTTCCAACGAAATCCTGAAATCTATCCAAATATCCCCTCGCAGATTCTACAAAAAGAGTGTTTCAAAACTGCTCTGTAAAAAGAAAGGTTGAACTCTGTTACTTGAGTACACACATCACAAACAAGTTTCACAGAATGCTTCTTTCTAGCTTGTAGGGGAAGATATTCCCTTTATCACCATGGGCCTCAAACCGTCCGAAACGTCTACTTCCATATACTACAAAAAGAGCGTTTCAAACCTGCTCTATGAAAGGCAATGTTCAACTCTGTGACTTGAATGCAGACATCACAGAGCAGTTTCTGAGAATGCTTTCTGTCTAGATTTTATAGGAAGATATTTCCGTTTCCAACGAAATCTTCACAGCTATCCAAATATCCACTTGCAGATTCTACAAAAAGAGTGTATCAAAACTGCTCTGTCAAAAGGAAGGTTCTTCTCTGTTAGGTGAGTGCATACGTCATAAAGGAGTTTCTGAGAATGTTTCTGTCTAGTGGTTATGGGAAGATATTTGCTTTTTCACCGTAGGCCTCAGAGCGCTCCAAATATCCACTTGCACATACTACAAAAAGAGTGCCTCAAAGCTGCTCTCTGAAACGGAATGTTCAACTCTATGAGTTGAATGCAAACATCGCAAAGACGTTTCTGAGAATGCTTTCTGTCTAGATTTGATATGAAGATATTCCCGTTTCCAACGAAATCTTCAAATCTATCCAAATGTCCACTTGCAGATTCAACAAAAAGTGTTTTTCAGAACTGCTCTATCAAAAGAAAGATCCACGTGTGTTAGCTGCGTTCACACATCACAAACAAGTTTATGAGAATGCTTCTATCTAGTTTTTATTTGAAGATATTTCCTTTCTCACCATCGACCTGAAAGCTGTCCTAATGTTCACTTCCAGATACTACAGAAAGAGTGTTTCAAAACTGCTGTACGAAAGGGAATGTTCAACTCTGTGACTTGAATGCACACATCACAAAGAAGTTTCTGAGGATGCTGCTGTCTACTTTTTATACGTAATCCCGTTTCCAACGAAATCCTCCAAGCTATCCAAATATCCACTTGCAGATTCCACAGAAAGAGTGTTTCAAAACTGCTCTGTCAATAGAAAGGTTCAACTCTGTTAGCTGCGTGCATATATCCCAAAGAAGATTCTGAGATTGCTTCTGTCTAGTTTTTATGGGAAGATATTTCCCTTTTCACCGTAGGTGTCAAGGTGCTCCAAATGTCCACTTCCAGATACTACAAAAAGAGTGTTTCAAACCTACTCTGTGAAAGGGAATATTCAACTCTGTGACTTGAATGCAGATATCACAAAGAAGTTTCCTGAGAATGCTTCTGTCGAGATTTTATATGAAGATATTCCCGTTTACAACGAAATTCTGAAATCTATCCAAATATCCCCTCGCAGATTCTAGAAAAAGAGTGTTTCAAAACTGCTCTGTAAAAAGAAAGGTTCACTTCTCTTAGTTGAGTACACACATCACAAACAAGTTTCTCAGAATGCTTCTTTCTAGCTTGTAGGGGAAGATATTCCCTTTATCACCATGGGCCTCAAACCGTCCGAAACGTCTACTTCCATATACTACAAAAAGAGCGCTTCAAACCTGCTCTATGAAAAGCAATGTTCAACTCTGTGACTTGAATGCAGACATCGCAGAGCAGTTTCTGAGAATGCTTCTGTCTAGATTTTATAGGAAGATATTCCCGTTTCCAACGAAATCTTCACAGCTATCCAAATATCCACTTGCAGATTCTACAAAAAGAGTTTATCAAAACTGCTCTGTCAAAAGGAAGGTTCTTCTCTGTTAGGTGAGTGCATACTTCATAAAGGAGTTTCTGAGAATGTTTCTGTCTAGTGGTTATGGGAAGATATTTGCTTTTTCACCGTAGGCCTCAGAGCGCTCCAAATGTCCACTTGCACATGCTACAAAAAGAGTGCTTCAAAGCTGCTCTCTGAAAGGGAATGTTCAACTCTATGAGTTGAATGCAAACATCACAAAGACGTTTCTGAGAATGCTTCTGTCTAGATTTGATATGAAGATATTCCCGTTTCCAACGAAATCTTCAAATCTATCCAAATGTCCACTTGCAGATTCAACAAAAAGTGTTTTTCCGAACTGCTCTATCAAAAGAAAGATCCACCTCTGTTAGCTCAGTTCACACATCACAAACAAGTTTATGAGAATGTTTCTGTCTAGTTTTTATTTGAAGATATTTCCTTTCTCACCATAGACCTGAAAGCTGTCCTAATGTTCACTTCCAGATACTACAGAAAGAGTGTTTCAAAACTGCTGTACGAAAGGGAATGTTCAGCTCTGTGACTTGAATGCACACATCACAAAGAAGTTTCTGAGGATGCTGCTGTCTACTTTTTATACGTAATTCCGTTTCCAACGAAATCCTCCAATCTATCCAAATATCCACTTGCAGATTCCACAGAAAGACTGTTTCAAATCTGCTCAGTCAATAGAAAGGTTCAACTCTGTTAGCTGCGTGCATATATCACAAAGAAGATTCTGAGATTGCTTCTGTCTAGTTTTTATGGGAAGATATTTCCCTTTTCACCGTAGGCGTCAAGGCGCTCCAAATGACCACTTCCAGATACTACAAAAAGAGTGTTTCAAACCTACTCTGTGAAAGGGAATATTCAACTCTGTGACTTGAATGCACATATCACAAGGAAGTTTCTGAGAATGCTTCTGTCGAGATTTTATATGAAGATATTCCCGTTTCCAACGAAATGCTGAAATGTATCAAAATATCCCCTCGCAGATTCTACAAAAAGAGTGTTTCAAAACTGCTCTGTAAAAAGAAAGGTTCAACTCTGTTAGTTGAGTACACACATCACAAACAAGTTTCACAGAATGCTTCTTTCTAGCTTGTAGGGGAAGATATTCCCTTTATCACCATGGGCCTCAAACCGTCCGAAACGTCTACTTCCATATACTACAAAAAGAGCGTTTCAAACCTGCTCTATGAAAAGCAATGTTCAACTCTGTGACTTGAATGCAGACATCACAGAGCAGTTTCTGAGAATGCTTCTGTCTAGATTTTATAGGAAGATATTCTCGTTTCCAACGAAATCTTCACAGCTATCCAAATATCCACTTGCAGATTCTACAAAAAGAGTGTATCAAAACTGCTCTGTCAAAAGGAAGGTTCTTCTCTGTTAGGTGAGTGCATACGTCATAAAGGAGTTTCTGAGAATGTTTCTGTCTAGTGGTTATGGGAAGATATTTGCTTTTTCACCGTAGGCCTCAGAGCGCTCCAAATATCCACTTGCACATACTACAAAAAGAGTGCTTCAAAGCTGCTCTCTGAAACGGAATGTTCAACTCTGTGAGTTGAATGCAAACATCACAAAGACGTTTCTGAGAATGCTTCTGTCTACATTTGATATGAAGATATTCCCGTTTCCAACGAAATCTTCAAATCTATCCAAATGTCCACTTGCATAATCAACAAAAAGTGTTTTTCAGAACTGCTCTATCAAAAGAAAGATCCACCTCTGTTAGCTGAGTTCACACATCACAAACAAGTTTATGAGAATGCTTCTGTCTAGTTTTTATTTGAAGATATTTCCTTTCTCACCATAGACCTGAAAGCTGTCCTAATGTTCACTTCCAGATACTACAGAAAGAGTGTTTCAAAACTGCTGTACGAAAGGGAATGTTCAACTCTGTGACTTGAATGCACACCGCACAAAGAAGTTTCTGAGGATGCTGCTGTCTACTTTTTATACTTAATCCCGTTTCCAACGAAATCCTCCAAGCTATCCAAATATCCACTTGCAGATTCCACAGAAAGACTGTTTCAAAACTGCTCTGTCAATAGAAAGGTTCAACTCTGTTAGCTGCGTGCATATATCCCAAAGAAGATTCCTGAGATTGCTTCTGTCTAGTTTTTATGGGAAGATATTTCCCTTTTCACCGTAGGCGTCAAGGCGCTCCAAATGTCCACTTCCAGATACTACAAAAAGAGTGTTTCAAACCTACTCTGTGAAAGGGAATATTCAACTCTGTGACTTGAATGCAGATATCACAAAGAAGTTTCTGAGAATGCTTCTGTCGAGATTTTATATGAAGATATTCCCGTTTCCAACGAAATCCTGAAATCTATCCAAATATCCCCTCGCAGATTCTACAAAAAGAGTGTTTCCAAACTGCTCTGTAAAAAGAAAGGTTCAACTCTGTTAGTTGAGTACACACATCACAAACAAGTTTCACAGAATGCTTCTTTCTAGCTTGTAGGGGAAGATATTCCCTTTATCACCATGGGCCTCAAACCGTCCGAAACGTCCACTTCCATATACTACAAAAAGATCGTTTCAAACCTGCTCTAGGAAAGGCAATGTTCAACTCTGTGACTTGAATGCAGACATCACAGAGCAGTTTCTGAGAATGCTTCTGTCTGGATTTTATAGGAAGATATTCCCGTTTCCAACGAAATCTTCACAGCTATCCAAATATCCACTTGCAGATTCTACAAAAAGAGTGTATCAAACCTGCTCTGTCAAAAGGAAGGTTCTTCTCTGTTAGTTGAGTACATACGTCATAAAGGAGTTTCTGAGAATGTTTCTGTCTAGTGGTTATGGGAAGATATTTGCTTTTTCACCGTAGGCCTCAGAGCGCTCCAAATATCCACTTGCACATACTACAAAAAGAGTGCCTCAAAGCTGCTCTTGGAAACGGAATGTTCAACTCTATGAGTTGAATGCAAACATCACAAAGACGTTTCTGAGAATGCTTCTGTCTAGATTTGATATGAAGATATTCCCGTTTCCAACGAAATCTTCATATCTATCCAAATGTCCACTTGCAGATTCAACAAAAAGTGTTTTTCAAAACTGCTGTATCAAAAGAAAGATCCACGTCTGTTAGCTGAGTTCACACATCACAAACAAGTTTATGAGAATGCTTCTGTCTAGTTTTTATTTGAAGATATTTCCTTTCTCACCATAGACCTGAAAGCTGTCCTAATGTTCACTCCCAGATAATACACAAAGAGTGTTTCAAAACTGCTGTACGAAGGGGAATGTTCAACTCTGTGACTTGAATGCACACATCACAAAGAAGTTTCTGAGGATGCTGCTGTCTACTTTTTATACGTAATCCCGTTTCCAACGAAATCCTCCAAGCTATCCAAATATCCACTTGCAGATTCCACAGAAAGACTGTTTCAAAACTGCTCTGTCAATAGAAAGGTTCAACTCTGTTAACTGCGTGCATATATCCCAAAGAAGATTCTGAGATTGCTTCTGTGTAGTTTTTATGGGAAGA
The DNA here is from genome assembly GCF_000001405.40 of Homo sapiens. Taxonomy (NCBI): domain Eukaryota; kingdom Metazoa; phylum Chordata; class Mammalia; order Primates; family Hominidae; genus Homo; species Homo sapiens. The sequence continues at coordinate 14,233,309 of NC_000022.11, read as the reverse complement.
TATTTCCTTTTTCACCATTGGCGTCAAAGCGCTCCCAATGTCCACTTCCAGATACTACAAAAAGAGTGTTTCAAACCTGCTATGTGAAAGGGAATATTCAACTCTGTAACTTCAATGCATATATCACAAAGAGGTTTCGGAGAATGCTTCTGTCGAGATTTTATATGAAGATATTCCCGTTTCCAACGAAATCCTGAAATCTATCCAAATATCCCCTCGCAGATTCTACAGAAAGAGTGTTTCAAAACTGCTCTGTAAAAAGAAAGGTTCAACTCTGTTAGTTGAGTGCACATATCACAAACAAGTTTCACAGAATGCTTCTTTCTAGCTTGTAGGGGAAGATATTCCCTTTATCACCATGGGCCTCCAACCGTCCGAAACATCCACTTCCATATACTACAAAAAGAGCGTTTCAAACCTGCTCTATGAAAGGCAATGTTCAACTCTGTGACTTGAATGCAGACATCACAGAGCAGTTTCTGAAAATGCTTCTGTCTAGATTTTATAGGAAGATATTCCCGTTTCCAACGAAATCTTCACAGCTATCCAAATATCCACTTGCAGATTCTACAAAAAGAGTGTATCAAAACTGCTCTGTCAAAAGGAAGGTTCTTCTCTGTTAGGTGAGTGCATACGTCGTAAAGGAGTTTCTGAGAATGTTTCTGTCTAGTGGTTATGGGAAGATATTTGCTTTTTCACCGTAGGCCTCAGAGCGCTCCAAATATCCACTTGCACATACTACAAAAAGAGTGCCTCAAAGCTGCTCTCTGAAACGGAATGTTCAACTCTATGAGTTGAATGCAAACATCACAAAGACGTCTCTGAGAAGGCTTCTGTCTAGATTTGATATGAAGATATTCCCGTTTCCAACGAAATCTTCAAATCTATCTAAATGTCCACTTGCAGATTCAACAAAAAATGTTTTTCAGAACTGCTCTATCAAAAGAAAGATCCACCTCTGTTAGCTGAGTTCACACATCACAAACAAGTTAATGAGAATGCTTCTGTCTAGTTTTTATTTGAAGATATTTCCTTTCTCACCATAGAGCTGAAAGCTGTCCTAATGTTCACTTCCAGATACTACAGAAAGAGTGTTTCAAAACTGCTGTACGAAAGGGAATGTTCAACTCTGTGACTTGAATGCACACGTCACAAAGAAGTTTCTGAGGATGCTGCTGTCTACTTTTTATACGTAATCCCGTTTCCAACGAAATCCTCCAAGCTATCCAAATATCCACTTGCAGATTCCACAGAAAGGCTGTTTCAAAACTGCTCTGTCAATAGAAAGGTTCAACTCTGTTAGCTGCGTGCATATATCCCAAAGAAGATTCTGAGATTGCTTTCTGTCTAGTTTTTATGGGAAGATATTTCCCTTTTCACCGTAGGCGTCATGGCGCTCCAAATGTCCACTTCCAGATACTACAAAAAGAATGTTTCAAACCTACTCGGTGAAAGGGAATATTCAACTCTGTGACCTGAATGCAGATATCACAAAGAAGTTTCTGAGAATGCTTCTGTCGAGATTTTATATGAAGATATTCCCGTTTCCAACGAAATCCTGAAATCTATCCAAATATCCCCCCGCAGATTCTACAAAAAGAGTGTTTCAAAACTGCTCTGTAAAAAGAAAGGTTCAACTCTGTTAGTTGAGTACACACATCACAAACAAGTTTCACAGAATGCTTCTTTCTAGCTTGTAGGGGAAGATATTCCCTTTATCACCATGGGCCTCCAACCGTCCGAAACATCCACTTACATATACTACAAAAAGAGCGTTTCAAACCTGCTCTATGAAAGGCAATGTTCAACTCTGTGACTTGAATACAGATATCACAGAGCAGTTTCTGAGAATGCTTCTGTCTAGATTTTATAGGAAGATATTCCCGTTTCCAACGAAATCTTCACAGCTATCCAAATATCCACTTGCAGATTCTACAAAAAGAGTGTATCAAAACTGCTCTGTCAAAAGGAAGGTTCTTCTCTGTTGGGTGAGTGCATACGTCATAAAGGAGTTTCTGAGAATGTTTCTGTCTAGTGGTTATGGGAAGATATTTGCTTTTTCACCTTAGGCCTCAGAGCGATCCAAATATCCACTTGCACATACTACAAAAAGAGTGCTTCAAAGCTGCTCTCTGAAACGGAATGTTCAACTCTATGAGTTGAATGCAAACATGACAAAGACGTTTCCGAGAATGCTTCTGTCTAGATTTGATATGACGATATTCCCGTTTCCAACGAAATCTTCAAATCTATCCAAATGTCCACTTGCAGATTCAACAAAACGTGTTTTTCAGAACTGCTCTATCAAAAGAAAGATCCACGTCTCTTAGCTGAGTTCACACATCACAAACAAGTTTATGAGAATGCTTCTGTCTAGTTTTTATTTGAAGATATTTCCTTTCTCACCATAGACCTGAAAGCTGTCCTAATGTTCACTTCCAGACACTACAGAAAGAGTGTTTCAAAACTGCTGTACGAAAGGGAATGTTCAACTCTGTGACTTGAATGCACACATCACAAAGAAGTTTCTGAGGATGCTGCTGTCTACTTTTTATACGTAATCCCATTTCCAACGAAATCCTCCAAGCTATCCAAATATCCACTTGCAGATTCCACAGAAAGACTGTTTCAAAACTGCTATGTCAATAGAAAAGTTCAACTCTGTTAGCTGTGTGCATATATCCCAAAGAAAATTCTGAGATTGCTTCTGTCTAGTTTTTATGGGAAGATATTTCCCTTTTCACCGTAGGCGTCAATGCGCTCCAAATGTCCACTTCCAGATACTACAAAAAGAGTGTTTCAAACCTACTCTGTGAAAGGGAATATTCAACTCTGTGACTTAAAGGCAGATATCACAAAGAAGTTTCTGAGAATGCTTCTGTCGAGATTTTATATGAAGATATTCCCGTTTCCAACGAAATCCTAAATCTATCCAAATATCCCCTCGCAGATTCTACAAAAAGAGTGTTTCAAAACTGCTCTGTAAAAAGAAAGGTTCAACTCTGTTAGTTGAGTACACACATCACAAACAAGTTTCACAGAATGCTTCTTTCTAGCTTGTAGGGGAAGATATTCCCTTTATCACCATGGGCCTCAAAGCGTCCGAAACGTCTACTTCCATATACTACAAAAAGAACGTTTCAAACCTGCTCTATGAAAAGCAATGTTCAACTCTGTGACTTGAATGCAGACATCACAGAGCAGTTTCTGAGAATGCTTCTGTCTAGATTTTATAGGAAGATATTCCCGTTTCCAACGATATCTTCACAGCTATCCAAATATCCACTTGCAGATTCTACAAAAAGAGTGTATCAAAACTGCTCTGTCAAAAGGAAGGTTCTTCTCTGTTAGTTGAGTACATACGTCATAAAGGAGTTTCTGAGAATGTTTCTGTCTAGTGGTTATGGGAAGATATTTGCTTTTTCACCTTAGGCCTCAGAGCGCTCCAAATATCCCCTTGCACATACTACAAAAAGAGTGCTTCAAAGCTGCTCTCTGAAACGGAATGTTCAACTCTATGGGTTGAATGCAAACATCACAAAGACGTTTCTGAGAATGCTTCTGTCTAGATTTGATATGAAGATATTCCCGTTTCCAAAGAAATCTTCAAATCTATCCAAATGTCCACTTGCAGATTCAACAAAAAGTGTTTTTCAGAACTGCTCTATCAAAAGAAAGATCCAGGTCTCTTAGCTGAGTTCACACATCACAAACAAGTTTATGAGAATGCTTCTGTCTAGTTTTTATTTGAAGATATTTCCTTTCTCACCATAGACCTGAAAGCTGTCCTAATGTTCACTTCCAGATACTACAGAAAGAGTGTTTCAAAACTGCTGTACGAAAGGGAATGTTCAACTCTGTGACTTCAATGCACACATCACAAAGAAGTTTCTGAGGATGCTGCTGTCTACTTTTTATACGTAATCCCGTTTCCAACGAAATCCTCCAAGCTATCCAAATATCCACTTGCAGATTCCACAAAAAGACTGTTTCAAAACTGCTCTGTCAATAGAAAGGTTCAACTCTGTTAGCTGCGTGCATACATCCCAAAGAAGATTCTGAGATTGCTTCTGTCTACTTTTTATGAGAAGATATTTCCCTTTTCACCGTAGGCGTCAAGGCGCTCCAAATGTCCACTTCCAGATACTACAAAAAGAGTGTTTCAAACCTACTCTGTGAAAGGGAATATTCAACTGTGTGACTTGAATGCACATATCACAAAGAAGCTTCTGAGAATGCTTCTGTCGAGATTTTATATGAAGATATTCCCGTTTCCAACGAAATCCTGAAATGTATCCAAATATCCCCTCGCAGATTATACAAAAAGAGTGTTTCAAAACTGCTCTGTAAAAAGAAAGGTTCAACTCTGTTAGTTGAGTACACACATCACAAACAAGTTTCACACAATGCTTCTTTCTAGCTTGTAGGGGAAGATATTTCCTTTATCACCATGGTTCTCAAACCGTCCGAAACGTCCACTTCCATATACTAAAAAAAGAGTGTTTGAAACCTGCTCTATGAAAGGCAATGTTCAACTCTGTCACTTGAATGCAGACATCACAGAGCAGTTTCTGAGAATGCTTCTGTCTAGATTTTATAGGAAGATATTCCCGTTTCCAACGAAATCTTTACAGCTATCCAAATATCCACTTGCAGATTCTACAAAAAGAGTGTATCAAAACTGCTCTGTCAAAAGGAAGGTTCTTCTCTGTTAGGTGAGTGCATACGTCATAAAGGAGTTTCTGAGAATGTTTCTGTCTAGTGGTTATGGGAAGATATTTGCTTTTTCCCCGTAGGCCTCAGGGCGCTCCAAATGTCCACTTGCACATGCTACAAAAAGAGTGCTTCAAAGCTGCTCTCTGAAAGGGAATGTTCAACTCTATGAGTTGAATGCAAACATCACAAAAACGTTTCTGAGAATGCTTCTGTCTAGATTTGATATGAAGATATTCCCGTTTCCAACGAAATCTTCAAATCTATCCAAATGTCCACTTGCAGATTCAACAAAAAGTGTTTTTAAAACTGCTGTATCAAAAGAAAGATTCACGTCTGTTAGCTGAGTTCACACATCACAAACAAGTTTATGAGAATGCTTCTGTCTAGTTTTTATTTGAAGATATTTCCCTTCTCACCATAGACCTGCAAGCTGTCCTAATGTTCACTTCCAGATACTACAGAAAGAGTGTTTCAAAACTGCTGTACGAAAGGGAATGTTCAACTCTGTGACTTGAATGCACACATCACAAAGTAGTTTCTGAGGATGCTGCTGTGTACTTTTGATACGTAATCCCGTTTCCAACGAAATCCTCCAAGCTATCGAAATATCCACTTGCAGATTCCACAGAACGACTGTTTCAAAACTGCTCTGTCAATAGAAATGTTCAACTCTGTTAGCTGCGTGCATATATCCCAAAGAAGATTCTGAGATTGCTTTCTGTCTACTTTTTATGAGAAGATATTTCCCTTTTCACCGTAGGCGTCAAGGTGCTCAAAATGTCCACTTCCAGATACTACAGAAAGAGTGTTTCAAACCTACTCTGTGAAAGGGAATATTCAACTCTCTGACTTGAATGCACATATCACAAAGAAGTTTTCTGAGAATGCTTCTGTCGAGATTTTATATGAAGATATTCCCGTTTCCAACGAAATCCTGAAATGTATCCAAATATCCCCTCGCAGATTCTACAAAAAGAGTGTTTCAAAACTGCTCTGGAAAAAGAAAGGTTCAACTCTGTTAGTTGAGTACACACATCACAAACAAGTTTCACAGAATGCTTCTTTCTAGCTTGTAGGGGAAGATATTCCCTTTATCACCATGGGCCTCAAACCGTCTGAAACGTCCACTTCCATATACTACAAAAAGAGCGTTTCAAACCTGCTCTATGAAAGGCAATGTTCAACTCTGTGAGTTGAATGCAGACATCACAGAGCAGTTTCTGAGAATGCTTCTGTCTAGATTTTATAGGAAGATATTCCCGTTTCCAACGAAATCTTCACAGCTATCCAAATATCCACTTGCAGGTTCTACAAAAAGAGTGTATCAAAACTGCTCTGTCAAAAGGAAGGTTCTTTTCTGTTAGGTGAGTGCATACGTCATAAAGGAGTTTCTGAGAATGTTTCTGTTTAGTGGTTATGGGAAGATATTTGCTTTTTCACCTTAGGCCTCAGAGCGCTCCAAATATCCCCTTGCACATACTACAAAAAGAGTGCTTCAAAGCTGCTCTCTGAAAGGGAATGTTCAACTCTATGAGTTGAATGCAAACATGACCAAGACGTTTCCGAGAATGCTTCTGTCTAGATTTGATATGAAGATATTCCCGTTTCCAACGAAATCTTCAAATCTATCCAAATGTCCACTTGCAGATTCAACAAAAAGTGTTTTTCAGAACTGCTCTATCAAAAGAAAGATCCACCTCTGTTAGCTGAGTTCACACTTCACAAACAAGTTTATCAGAATGCTTCTGTCTAGTTTTTATTTGAAGATATTTCCTTTCTCACCATAGAGCTGAAAGCTGTCCTAATGTTCACTTCCAGATACTACAGAAAGAGTGTTTCAAAACTGCTGTACGAAAGGGAATGTTCAACTCTGTGACTTGAATGCACACATCACAGAGAAGTTTCTGAGGATGCTGCTGTCTACTTTTTATACCTAATCCCGTTTCCAAAGAAATCCTCCAATCTATCCAAATATCCACTTGCAGATTCCACAGAAAGACTGTTTCAAAACTGCTCTGTCAATAGAAAGGTTCAACTCTGTTAGCTGCGTGCATATATCCCAAAGAAGATTCTGAGATTGCTTCTGTCTAGTTTTTATGGGAAGATATTTCCCTTTTCACCGTAGGCGTCAAGGCGCTCTAAATGTCCACTTCCAGATACTACAAAAAGAGTGTTTCAAACCTACTCTGTGAAAGGGAATATTCAACTCTGTGACTTGAATGCACATATCACAAGGAAGTTTCTGAGAATGCTTCTGTCGAGATTTTATATGAAGATATTCCCGTTTCCAACGAAATCCTGAAATCTATCCAAATATCCCCTCGCAGATTCTACAAAAAGAGTGTTTCAAAACTGCTCTGTAAAAAGAAAGGTTCAACACTGTTAGTTGAGTACACACATCACAAACAAGTTTCACAGAGTGCTTCTTTCTAGCTTGTAGGGGAATATATTCCCTTTATCACCATGGGTCTCAAACCGTCCGAAACGTCCACCTCCATATACTACAAAAAGAGCGTTTCAAACCTGCTCTATGAAAGGCAATGTTCAACTCTGTGACTTGAATGCAGACATCACAGAGCTGTTTCTGAGAATGCTTCTGTCTAGATTTTATAGGAAGATATTCCCGTTTCCAACGAAATCTTCACAGCTATCCAAATATCCACTTGCAGATTCTACAAAAAGAGTGTATCAAAACTCCTCTGTCAAAAGAAGGTTCTTCTCTGTTAGGTGAGTGCATACGTCATAAAGGAGTTTCTGAGAATGTTTCTGTCTAGTGGTTATGGGAAGATATTTCCTTTTTCCCCGTAGGCCTCAGGGCGCTCCAAATGTCCACTTGCACATGCTACAAAAAGAGTGCTTCAAAGCTGCTCTCTGAAAGGGAATGTTCAACTCTATGAGTTGAATGCAAACATCACAAAGACGTTTCTGAGAATGCTTCTGTCTAGATTTGATATGAAGATATTCCCGTTTCCAATGAAATCTTCAAATCTATCCAAATGTCCACTTGCAGATTCAACAAAAAGTGTTTTTCAGAACTGCTCTATCAAAAGAAAGATCCACCTCTGTTAGCTGAGTTCAGACATCACAAACAAGTTTATGAGAATGCTTCTGTCTAGTTTTTATTTGAAGATATTTCCTTTCTCACCATAGAGCTGAAAGCTGTCCTAATGTTCACTTCCAGTTACTACAGAAAGAGTGTTTGAAAACTGCTGTACGAAAGGGAATGTTCAACTCTGTGACTTGAATGCACACATCACAAAGAAGTTTCTGAGGATGCTGCTGTCTACTTTTTATACGTAATCCCGTTTCCAACGAAATCCTCCAAGCTATCCAAATATCCACTTGCAGATTCCACAGAAAGACTGTTTCAAAACTGCTCTGTCAATAGAAAGGTTCAACTCTGTTAGCTGCGTGCATATAACCCAAAGAAGATTCTGAGATTGCTTCTGTCTAGTTTTTATGGGAAGATATTTCCCTTTTCACCGTAGGTGTCAATGTGCTCCAAATGTCCACTTCCAGACACTACAAAAAGAGTGTTTCAAACCTACTCTGTGAAAGGGAATATTCAACTCTGTGACTTGAATGCAGATAACACAAAGAAGTTTCTGAGAATGCTTCTGTCGAGATTTTATATGAAGATATTCCCGTTTCCAAGGAAATCCTGAAATGTATCCAAATATCCCCTCGCAGATTCTACAAAAAGAGTGTTTCAAAACTGCTCTGTAAAAAGAAAGGTTCAACTCTGTTAGTTGAGTACACACATCACAAACAAGTTTCACACAATGCTTCTTTCTAGCTTGTAGGGGAAGATATTCCCTTTATCACCATGGGCCTCAAACCGTCCGAAACGTCTACTTCCATATACTACAAAAAGAGCGTTTCAAACATACTCTATGAAAGGCAATGTTCAACTCTGTGACTTGAATGCAGACATCACAGAGCAGTTTCTGAGAATGCTTCTGTCTAGATTTTATAGGAAGATATTCCCGTTTCCAACGAAATCTTCACAGGTATCCAAATATCCACTTGCAGATTCTACAAAAAGAGTGTATCAAAACTGCTCTGTCAAAAGGAAGGTTCTTCTCTGTTAGGTGAGTGCATACCTCATAAAGGAGTTTCTGAGAATGTTTTCTGTCTAGTGGTTATGGGAAGATATTTGCTTTTTCACCGTAGGCCTCAGAGCGCTCCAAATATCTACTTGCACATACTACAAAAAGAGTGCCACAAAGCTGCTCTCTGAAAGGGAATGTTCAACTCTATGAGTTGAATGCAAACATCACAAAGACGTTTCTGAGAATGCTTCTGTCTAGATTTGATATGAAGATATTCCCGTTACCAACGAAATATTCAAATCTATCCAAATGTCCACTTGCAGATTCAACAAAAAGTGTTTTTCAGAACTGCTCTATCAAAAGAAAGATCCACCTCCTGTTAGCTGAGTTCACACATCACAAACAAGTTTATGAGAATGCTGCTGTCTAGTTTTTATTTGAAGATATTTCCTTTCTCACCATAGACCTGAAAGCTGTCCTAATGTTCACTTCCAGATACTACAGAAAGAGTGTTTCAAAACTGCTGTACGAAAGGGAATGTTCAACTCTGTGACTTGAATGCACACATCACAAAGAAGTTTCTGAGGATGCTGCTGTCTACTTTTTATACGTAATCCCGTTTCCAACGAAATCCTGCAAGCTATCCAAATATCCACTTGCAGATTCCACAGAAAGAATGTTTCAAAACTGCTCTGTCAATAGAAAGGTTCAACTCTGTTAGCTGCGTGCATATATCCCAAAGAAGATTCTGAGATTGCTTCTGTCTAGTTTTTATGGGAAGATATTTCCCTTTTCACCGTAGGCGTCAAGGCGCTTCAAATGTCCACTTCCAGATACTACAAAAAGAGTGTTTCAAACCTACTCTGTGAAAGGGAATATTCAACTACTGTGACTTGAATGCACATATCACAAAGAAGTTTCTGAGAATGCTTCTGTCGAGATTTTATATGAAGATATTCCCGTTTCCAAAGAAATCCTGAAATCTATCCAAATATCCCCTCGCAGATTCTACAAAAAGAGTGTTTCAAAACTGCTCTGTAAAAAGGAAGGTTCAACTCTGTTAGTTGAGTACACACATCACAAACAAGTTTCACAGAATGCTTCTTTCTAGCTTGTAGGGGAAGATATTCCCTTTATCACCATGGGCCTCAAACCGTCCGAAAAGACCACTTCCATATACTACAAAAAGAGCGTTTCAAACCTGCTCTATGAAAGGCAATGTTCAACTCTGTGACTTGAATGCAGACATCACAGAGCAGTTTCTGAGAATGCTTCTGTCTAGATTTTATAGGAAGATATTCCCGTTTCCAAAGAAATCTTCACAGCTATCCAAATATCCACTTGCAGATTCTACAAAAAGAGTGTATCAAAACTGCTCTGTCAAAAGGAAGGTTCTTCTCTGTTAGTTGAGTACATACGTCATAAAGGAGTTTCTGAGAATGTTTCTGTCTAGTGGTTATGGGAAGATATTTGCTTTTTCACCTTAGGCCTCAGAGAGCTCCAAATATCCCCTTGCACATACTACAAAAAGAGTGCTTCAAAGCTGCTCTTTGAAAGGGAATGTTCAACTCTATGAGTTGAATGCAAACATCACAAAGACGTTTCTGAGAATGCTTCTGTCTAGATTTGATATGAAGATATTCCCGTTTCCAACGAAATCTTCATATCTATCCAAATGTCCACTTGCAGATTCAACAAAAAGTGTTTTTCAAAACTGCTGTATCAAAAGAAAGATCCACGTCTGTTAGCTGATGCTCTATCAAAAGAATCTGTCTAGTTTTTATTTGAAGATATATCCTTTCTCACTATAGACCTGAAAGCTCTCCTAAAGTTCACTTCCCGATACTACAGAAAGAGTTTTTCAAAACTGCTGTACGAAAGGGAATGTTCAACTCTGTGACTTGAATGCACACGTCACAAGGAAGATTCTGAGGATGCTGCTGTCTACTTTTTATACGTAATCCCGTTTCCAAAGAAATCCCCCAAGCTATCCAAATATCCACTTGCAGATTCCACAGAAAGACTGTTTCAAAACTGCTCTGTCAATAGAAAGGTTCAACTCTATTAGCTGCGTGCATATATCCCAAAGAAGATTCTGAGATTGCTTCTGTCTAGTTTTTATGGGAAGATATTTCCGTTTTCACCGTAGACGTCAAGGCGCTCCAAATGTCCACTTCCAGATACTACAAAAAGAGTGTTTCAAACCTACTCTGTGAAAGGGAATATTCAACTCTGTGACTTGAATGCAGATATCACAAAGAAGTTTCTGAGAATGCTTCTGTCGAGATTTTATATGAAGATATTCCCGTTTCCAGCGAAATCCTGAAATGTATCCAAATATCCCCTCGCAGATTCTACAAAAAGAGTGTTTCAAAACTGCTCTGTAAAGAGAAAGGTTCAACTCTGTTAGTTGAGTGCACACATCACAAACAAGTTTCACAGAATGCTTCTTTCTAGCTCGTAGGGGAAGATATTCCCTTTATCACCATGGGCCTCAAACCGTCCGAATCGTCCACTTCCATATACTACAAAAAGAGCGTTTCAAACCTGCTCCATGAAAGGCAATGTTCAACTCTGTGACTTGAATGCAGACATCACAGAGCAGTTTCTGAGAATGCTTCTGTCTAGATTTTATAGGAAGATATTCCCGTTTCCAACGAAATCTTCACAGTTATCCAAATATCCACTTGCAGATTCTGCAAAAAGAGTGTATCAAAACTGCTCAGTCAAAAGGAAGGTTCTTCTCTGTTAGGTGAGTGCATACGTCATAACGGAGTTTCTGAGAATGTTTCTGTCTAGTGGTTATGGGAAGATATTTGCTTTTTCACCGTAGGCCTCAGAGCGCTCCAAATATCCACTTGCACATACTACAAAAAGAGTGCCTCAAAGCTGCTCTCTGAAACGGAATGTTCAACTCTATGAGTTGAATGCCAACATCACAAAGACGTTTCTGAGAATGCTTCTGTCTGGACTTGATATGAAGATATTCCCGTTTCCAACGAAATCTTCAAATCTATCCAAATGTCCACTTGCAGATTCAACAAAAAGTGTTTTTCAGAACTGCTCTATCAAAAGAAAGATCCACGGCTCTTAGCTGAGTTCACACATCACGAACAAGTTTATGAGAATGCTTCTGTCTAGTTTTTATTTGAAGATATTTCCTTTCTCACCATAGAGCTGAAAGCTGTCCTAATGTTCATTTCCAGATACTACAGAAAGAGTGTTTCAAAACTGCTGTACGAAAGGGAATGTTCAACTCTGTGACTTGAATGCACACATCACAAAGAAGTTTCTGAGGATGCTGCTGTCTACTTTTTATACGTAATCCCGTTTCCAACGAAATCCTCCAAGCTATCCAAATATCCACTTGCAGATTCCACAGAAAGACTGTTTCAAAACTGCTCTGTCAATAGAAAGGTTCAACTCTGTTAGCTGTGTGCATATATCCCAAAGAAGATTCTGAGATTGCTTCTGTCCAGTTTTTATGGGAAGATATTTCCCTTTTCACCGTAGGCGTCAAGGCGCTCCAAATGTCCACTTCCAGATACTACAAAAAGAGTGTTTCAAACCTACTCTGTGAAAGGGAATATTCAACTCTGTGACTTGAATGCAGATATCACAAAGAAGTTTCTGAGAATGCTTCTGTCGAGATTTTATATGAAGATATTCCCGTTTCCAACGAAATCCTGAAATCTATCTAAATATCCCCTCGCAGATTCTACAAAAAGAGTGTTTCAAAACTGCTCTGTAAAAAGAAAGGTTCAACTCTGTTAGTTGTGTACACACATCACAAACAAGTTTCACAGAATGCTTCTTTCTAGCTTGTAGGGGAAGATATTCCCTTTATCACCATGGGCCTCAAACCGTCCGAAACGTCTACTTCCATATACTACAAAAAGAGCGTTTCAAACCTGCTCTATGAAAGGCAATGTTCAACTCTGTGACTTGAATGCAGACATCACAGAGCAGTTTCTGAGAATGCTTCTGTCTAGATTTTATAGGAAGATATTCCCGTTTCCAATGAAATCTTCACAGCTATCCAAATATCCACTTGCAGATTCTACAAAAAGAGTGTATCAAAACTGCTCTGTCAAAAGGAAGGTTCTTCTCTGTTAGTTGAGTACATACGTCATAAAGGAGTTTCTGAGAATGTTTCAGTCTAGTGGTTATGGGAAGATATTTGCTTTTTCACTGCAGGCCTCACAGCGCTCCAAATATCCACTTGCACATACTACAAAAAGAGTGCTTCAAAGCTGCTCTCTGAAACGGAATGTTCAACTCTATGAGTTGAATGCAAACATCACAAAGACGTTTCCGAGAATGCTTCTGTCTAGATTTGATATGAAGATATTCCCGTTTCCAACGAAATCTTCAAATCTATCCAAATGTCCACTTGCAGATTCAACAAAAAGTGTTTTTCAGAACTGCTCTATCAAAAGAAAGATCCACCTCTGTTAGCTGAGTTCACACTTCACAAACAAGTTTATGAGAATGCTTCTGTCTAGTTTTTATTTGAAGATATATCCTTTCTCACTATAGACCTGAAAGCTCTCCTAAAGTTCACTTCCAGATACTACAGAAAGAGTGTTTCAAAACTGCTGTTCGAAAGGGAATGTTCAACTCTGTGACTTGAATGCACACATCACAAGGATGTTTCTGAGGATGCTGCTGTCTACTTTTTATACGTAATCCCATTTCCAACGAAATCCTCCAAGCTATCCAAATATCCACTTGCAGATTCCACAGAAAGACTGTTTCAAAACTGCTATGTCAATAGAAAAGTTCAACTCAGTTCGCTGTGTGCATATATCCCAAAGAAAATTCTGAGATTGCTTCTGTCTACTTTTTATGAGAAGATATTTCCCTTTTCACTGTAGGCGTCAAGGCGCTCCAAATGTCCACTTCCAGATACTACAAAAAGAGTGTTTCAAACCTACTCTGTGAAAGGGAATATTGAACTCTGTGACTTGAATGCACATATCACAAAGAAGCTTCTGAGAATGCTTTTGTCGAGATTTTATATGAAGATATTCCCGTTTCCAAAGAAATCCTGAAATCTATCCAAATATCCCCTCGCAGATTCTACAAAAAGAGTGTTTCAAAACTGCTCTGTAAAAAGAAAGGTTCAACTCTGTTAGTTGAGTACACACATCACAAACAAGTTTCACAGAATGCTTCTTTCTAGCTTGTAGGGGAAGATATTCCCTTTATCACCATGGGCCTCAAACCGTCCGAAACGTCCACTTCCATATACTACAAAAAGAGCGTTTCAAACCTGCTCTAGGAAAGGCAATGTTCAACCCTGTGACTTGAATGCAGACATCACAGAGCAGTTTCTGAGAATGCTTCTGTCTAGATTTTATAGGAAGATATTCCCGTTTCCAACAAAATCTTCACAGCTATCCAAATATCCACTTGCAGATTCTACAAAAAGAGTGTATCAAAACTGCTCTGTCAAAAGGAAGGTTCTTCTCTGTTAGGTGAGTGCATACCGTCATAAAGGAGTTTCTGAGAATGTTTCTGTCTAGTGGTTATGGGAAGATATTTTCTTTTTCACCGTAGGCCTCAGAGCGCTCCAAATATCCACTTGCACATACTACAAAAAGAGTGTTTCAAAGCTGCTCTCTGAAAGGGAATGTTCAACTCTATGAGTTGAATGCAAACATCACAAAGACGTTTCTGAGAATGCTTCTGTCTAGATTTGATATGAAGATATTCCCGTTTCCAACGAAATCTTCAAATCTATCCAAATGTCCACTTGCAGATTCAACAAAAAGTGTTTTTGAGAACTGCTCTATCAAAAGAAAGATCCACCTCTGTTAGCTGAGTTCACACATCACAAACAAGTTTATGAGAATGCTTCTGTCTAGTTTTTATTTGAAGATATATCCTTTCTCACTATAGACCTGAAAGCTGTCCTAATGTTCACTTCCAGATACTACAGAAAGAGTGTTTCAAAACTGCTGTACGAAAGGGAATGTTCAACTCTGTGACTTGAATGCACACATCACAAAGTAGTTTCTGAGGATGCTGCTGTCTACTTTTTATACGTAATCCCGTTTCCAAGGAAATCCTCCAAGCTATCCAAATATCCACTTGCAGATTCCACAGAAAGACTGTTTCAAAACTGCTCTGTCAATAGAAAGGTTCAACTCTGTTAGTTGCGTGCATATATCCCAAGGAAGATTCTGAGATTGCTTCTGTCTAGTTTTGATGGGAAGATACTTCCCTTTTCACCGTAGGTGTCAAGGCGCTCCAAATGTCCACTTCCAGATACTACAAAAAGAGTGTTTCAAACCTACTCTGTGAAAGGGAATATTCAACTCTGTGACTTGAATGCACATATCACAAAGAAGTTTCTGAGAATGCTTCTGTCGAGATTTTATATGAAGATATTCCCGTTTCCAACGAAATCCTGAAATCTATCCAAGTATCCCCTCGCAGATTCTACAAAAAGAGTGTTTCAAAACTGCTCTGTGAAAAGAAAGGTTCAACTCTGTTAGTTGAGTACACACATCACAAACAAGTTTCACACAATGCTTTCTTTCTAGCTTGCAGGGGAAGATATTCCCTTTATCACCATGGGCCTCAAACCGTCTGAAACGTCCACTTCCATATACTACAAAAAGAGCATTTCAAACCTGCTCTATGAAAGGCAATGTTCAACTCTGTGACTTGAATGCAGACATCACAGAGCAGTTTCTGAGAATGCTTCTGTCTAGATTTTATAGGAAGATATTCCCGTTTCCAATGAAATCTTCACAGCTATCCAAATATCCACTTGCAGATTCTACAAAAAGAGTGTATCAAAACTGCTCTGTCAAAAGGAAGGTTCGTTTCTGTTAGGTGAGTGCATACGTCATAAAGGAGTTTCTGAGAATGTTTCAGTCTAGTGGTTATGGGAAGATATTTGCTTTTTCCCCGTAGGACTCAGAGCGCTCCAAATATCCACTTGCACATACTACAAAAAGAGTGCTTCAAAGCTGCTCTCTGAAACGGAATGTTCAACTCTATGAGTTGAATGCAAACATCACAAAGACGTTTCTGAGAATGCTTCTGTCTAGATTTGATATGAAGATATTCCCGTTTCCAACGAAATCTTCAAATCTATCCAAATGTCCACTTGCAGATTCAACAAAACGTGTTTTTCAGAACTGCTCTATCAAAAGAAAGATCCACGTCTCTTAGCTGAGTTCACACATCACAAACAAGTTTATGAGAATGTTTCTGTCTAGTTTTTATTTGAAGATATTTCCTTTCTCACCATAGAGCTGAAAGCTGTCCTAACGTTGACTTCCAGATACTACAGAAAGAGTGTTTCAAAACTGCTGTACGAAAGGGAATGTTCAACTCTGTGACTTGAATGCTCACATCACAAAGAAGTTTCTGAGGATGCTGCTGTCTACTTTTTATACGTAATTCCGTTTCCAACGAAATCCTCCAAGCTATCCAAATATCCACTTGCAGATTCCACAGAAAGACTGTTTCAAAACTGCTCTGTCAATAGAAAGGTTCAACTCTGTTAGCTGCGTGCATATATCCCAAAGAAGATTCTGAGATTGCTTCTGTCTAGTTTTTATGGGAAGATATTTCCCTTTTCACCGTAGGTGTCAAGGCGCTCCAAATGTCCACTTCCAGATACTACAAAAAGAGTGTTTCAAACCTACTCTGTGAAAGGGAATATTCAACTCTGTGAATTGAATGCACATATCACAAAGAAGTTTCTGAGAAAGCTTCTGTCGAGATTTTATATGAATATATTCCCGTTTCCAACGAAATGCTGAAATGTATCCAAATATCCCCTCGCAGATTCTACAAAAAGAGTGTTTCAAAACTGCTCTGTAAAAAGAAAGGTTCAACTCTGTTAGTTGAGTACACACATCACAAACAAGTTTCACAGAATGCTTCTTTCTAGCTTGTAGGGGAAGATAATCCCTTTATCACCATGGGCCTCCAACCGTCCGAAACATCCACTTCCATATACTACAAAAAGAGCGTTTCAAACCTGCTCTATGAAAGGCAATGTTCAACTCTGTGACTTGAATGCAGACATCACAGAGCAGTTTCTGAGAATGCTTCTGTCTAGCATTTTATAGGAAGATATTCCCGTTTCCAGCGAAATCTTCACAGCTATCCAAATATCCACTTGCAGATTCTACAAAAAGAGTGTATCAAAACTGCTCTGTCAAATGGAAGGTTCTTCTCTGTTAGGTGAGTGCATACGTCATAAAGGAGTTTCTGAGAATGTTTCTGTCTAGTGGTTATGGGAAGATATTTGCTTTTTCACCGAAGGCCTCAGAGCGCTCCAAATATCCACTTGCACATACTACAAAAAGAGTGCTTCAAAGCTGCTCTCTGAAAGGGAATGTTCAACTCTATGAGTTGAATGCAAACATCACAAAGACGTTTCTGACAATGCTTCTGTCTAGATTTGATATGAAGATATTCCCGTTTCCAACGAAATCTTCAAATCTATCCAAATGTCCACTTGCAGATTCAACAAAAAGTGTTTTTCAGATCTGCTCTATCAAAAGAAAGATCCACCTCTGTTAGCTGAGTTCACACATCAGAAACAAGTTTATGAGAATGCTTCTGTCTAGTTTTTATTTGAAGATATTTCCTTTCTCACCATAGACCTGAAAGCTGTCCTAATGTTCACTTAAAGATGCTACAGAAAGAGTGTTTCAAAACTGCTGTACGAAAGGGAATGTTCAACTCTGTGACTTGAATGCACACATCACAAAGAAGTTTCTGAGGATGCTGCTGTCTACTTTTTATACGTAATCCCGTTTCCAATGAAATCCTCCAAGCTATCCAAATATCCACTTGCAGATTCCACAGAAAGACTGTTTCAAAACTGCTCTGTCAATAGAAAGGTTCAACTCTGTTAGCTGCGTGCATATATCCCAAAGAAGATTCTGAGATTGCTTCTGTCTAGTTTTTATGGGAAGATATTTCCCTTTTCACCGTAGGTGTCAAGGCGCTCCAGATGTCCACTTCCAGATACTACAAAAAGAGTGTTTCAAACCTACTCTGTGAAAGGGAATATTCAACTCTGTGACTTGAATGCACATATCACAAAGAAGTTTCTGAGAATGCTTCTGTCGAGATTTTATATGAAGATATTCCCGTTTCCAACGAAATCCTGAAATGTATCCAAATATCCCCTCACAGATTCTACAAAAAGAGTGTTTCAAAACTGCTCTGTAAAAAGAAAGGTTCAACTCTGTTAGTTGAGTGCACACATCACAAACAAGTTTCACAGAATGCTTCTTTCTAGCTTGTAGGGGAATATATTCCCTTTATCACCCTGGGCCTCAAACCGTCTGAAACGTCCACTTCCATATACTTCAAAAAGAGCGTTTCAAACCTGCTCTATGATAGGCAATGTTCAACTCTGTGACTTGAATGCAGACATCACAGAGCTGTTTCTGAGAATGCCTCTGTCTAGATTTTATAGGAAGAAATTCCCGTTTCCAACGAAATCTTCACAGCTATCCAAATATCCACTTGCAGATTCTACAAAAAGAGTGTATCAAAACTGCTCTGTCAAAAGGAAGGTTCTTCTCTGTTAGGTGAGTGCATACGTCATAAAGGAGTTTCTGAGAATGTTTCTGTCTAGTGGTTATGGGAAGATATTTGCTTTTTCACCGTAGGCCTCACAGCGCTCCAAATATCCACTTGCACATACTACAAAAAGAGTGCTTCAAAGCTGCTCTCTGAAACGGAATGTTCAACTCTATGAGTTGAATGCAAACATCACAAAGAGGTTTCTGAGAATGCTTCTGTCTAGATTTGATATGAAGATATTCCCGTTTCCAACGAAATCTTCAAATCTATCCAAATGTCCACTTGCAGATTCCACAAAAAGTGTTTTTCAGAACTGCTCTATCAAAAGAAAGATCCACCTCTGTTAGATGAGTTCACACATCACAAACAAGTTTATGAGAATGCTTCTGTCTAGTTTTTATTTGAAGATATACCCTTTCTCACTATAGACCTCAAAGCTCTCCTAATGTTCACTTCCAGATACTACAGAAAGAGTGTTTCAAAACTGCTGTACGAAAGGGAATGTTCAACTGTGTGTCTTGAATGCACACATCACAAGGAAGTTTCTGAGGATGCTGCTGTCTACTTTTTATACTGTAATCCCGTTTCCAACGAAATCCTCCAAGCTATCCAAATATCCACTTGCAGATTCCACAGAAAGACTGTTTCAAAACTGCTCTGTCAATAGAAAGGTTCAACTCTGTTAGCTGCGTGCATATATCCCAAAGAAGATTCTGAGATTGCTTCTGTCTAGTTTTTATGAGAAGATATTTCCCTTTTCACCGTAGGCGTCAAAGCGCTCCAAATGTCCACTTCCAGATACTACAAAAAGAGTGTTTCAAACCTACTCTGTGAAAGGGAATATTCAACTCTGTGACTTGAATGCACATATCACAATGAAGTTTCTGAGAATGCTTCTGTCGAGATTTTATATGAAGATATTCCCGTTTCCAACGAAATCCTGAAATCTATCCAAATATCCCCTCGCAGATTCTACAACAAGAGTGTTTCAAAACTGTTCTGTAAAAAGAAAGGTTTAACTCTGTTAGTTGAGTACACACATCACAAACAAGTTTCACAGAATGCTTCTTTCTAGCTTGTAGCGGAAGATATTCCCTTTATCACCATGGGCCTCAAACCGTCTGAAACGTCCACTTCCATATACTACAAAAAGAGCATTTCAAACCTGCTGTATGAAAGGCAATGTTCAACTCTGTGACTTGAATGCAGACATCACAGAGCAGTTTCTGAGAATGCTTCTGTCCAGACTTTATAGGAAGATATTCCCGATTCCAACGAAATCTTTACAGCTATCCAAATATCCACTTGCAGATACTACAAAAAGAGTGTATCAAAAAAGCTCTGTCAAAAGGAAAGTTCTTTTCTGCTAGTTGAGTACATACGTCATAAAGAAGTTTCTGAGAATGTTTCTGTCTAGTGGTTATGGGAAGATATTTGCTTTTTCACCATAGGCCTCAGAGCGCTCAAAATGTCCACTTGCACATGCTACAAAAAGATTGCTTCAAAGCTGCTCTCTGAAAGGGAATGTTCAACCCTATCAGTTGAATGCAAACATCACAAAGACGTTTCTGAGAATGCTTCTGTCTAGATTTGATATGAAGATATTCCCGTTTCCAACGAAATCTTCAAATCTATCCAAATGTCCACTTGCAGATTCAACAAAGTGTTTTTCAAAACTGCTGTATCAAAAGAAAGATCCACCTCTGTTAGCTGAGTTCACACTTCACAAACAAGTTTATCAGAATTCTTCTGTCTGGTTTTTATTTGAAGATATTTCCTTTCTCACCATAGACCTGAAAGCTGTCCTAATGTTCACTCCCAGATAATACAGAAAGAGTGTTTCAAAACTGCTGTACGAAAGGGAATGTTCAACTCTGTGACTTGAATGCACACATCACAAAGAAGTTTCTGAGGATGCTGCTGTCTACTTTTTATACGTAATCCCGTTTCCAACGAAATCCTCCAAGCTATCCAAATATCCACTTGCAGATTCCACAGAAAGACTGTTTCAAAACTGCTCTGTCAATAGAAAGGTTGAACTCTGTTAGCTGCGTGCATATATCCCAAAGATGATTCTGAGATTGCTTCTGTCTAGTTTTTATGGGAAGATATTTCCCTTTTCACCGTAGGCGTCAAGGCGCTCCAAATGTCCACTTCCAGATACTACAAAAGGAGTGTTTCAAACCTACTCTGTGAAAGGGAATATTCAACTCTGTGACTTGAATGCAGATATCACAAAGAAGTTTCTGAGAATGCTTCTGTCGAGATTTTATATGAAGATATTCCCGTTTCCAACGAAATCCTGAAATCTATCCAAATATCCCCTCACAGATTCTACAAAAAGAGTGTTTCAAAACTGCTCTGTAAAAAGAAAGGTTCAACTCTGTTAGTTGAGTACACACATCACAAACAAGTTTCACAGAATGCTTCTTTCTAGCTTGTAGGGGAAGATATTTCCTTTATCACCATGGTACTCAAACCGTCCGAAACGTCCACTTCCATATACTAAAAAAGGAGTGTTTGAAACCTGCTCTATGAAAGGCAATGTTCAACTCTGTGACTTGAATGCAGACATCACAGAGCAGTTTCTGAGAATGCTTCTGTCTAGATTTTATAGGAAGATATTCCCGTTTCCAACGAAATCTTCACAGCTATCCAAATATCCACTTGCAGATTCTACAAAAAGAGTGTATCAAAACTGCTCTGTCAAAAGGAAGGTTCTTCTCTGTTAGGTGAGTGCATACGTCATAAAGGATTTTCTGAGAATGTTTCTGTCTAGTGGTTATGGGAAGATATTTGCTTTTTCACCGTAGGCCTCAGAAGCGCTCCAAATATCCACTTGCACATACTACAAAAAGAGTGCTTCAAAGCTGGTCTCTGAAACGGAATGTTCAACTCTATGAGTTGAATGCAAACATCACAAAGACGTTTCTGAGAATGCTTCTGTCTAGATTTGATATGAAGATATACCCGTTTCCAACGAAATCTTCAAATCTATCCAAATGTCCACTTGCAGATTCAACAAAGTGTTTCTCAAAACTGCTGTATCAAAAGAAAGATCCACGTCTGTTAGCTGAGTTCACACATCACAAAGAAGTTTATGAGAATGCTTCTGTCTAGTTTTTATTTGAAGATATTTCCTTTCTCACCATAGACCTGAAAGCTGTCCTAATGTTCACTTCCAGATACTATAGAAAGAGTGTTTCAAAACTGCTGTACGAAAGGGAATGTTCAACTCTGTGACTTGAATGCACACATCACAAAGAAGTTTCTGAGGATGATGCTGTCTAATTTTTATACGTAATCCCGTTTCCAACGAAATCCTCAAAGCTATCCAAATATCCACTTGCAGATTCCACAGAAAGACTGTTTCAAAACTGCTCTGTCAATAGAAAGGTTCAACTCTGTTAGCTGCGTGCATATATCCCAAAGAAGATTCTGAGATTGCTTCTGTCTAGTTTTTATGGGAAGATATTTCCCTTTTCACCGTAGGCGTCAAGGCGCTCCAAATGTCCACTTCCAGATACTACAAAAAGAGTGTTTCAAACCTACTCTGTGAAAGGGAATATTCAACTCTGTGACTTAAAGGCAGATATCACAAAGAAGTTTCTGAGAATGCTTCTGTCGAGATTTTATATGAAGATATTCCCGTTTCCAACGAAATCCTGAAATCTATCCAAATATCCCCTCGCAGATTCTACAAAAGGAGTGTTTCAAAACTGCTCTGTAAAAAGAAAGGTTCAACTCTGTTAGTTGAGTACACACATCACAAACAAGTTTCACAGAATGCTTCTTTCTAGCTTGTAGGGGAAGATATTCCCTTTATCACCATGGGCCTCAAACCGTCCGAAACGTCCACTTCCATATACTACAAAAAGAGCGTTCCAAACCTGCTCTATGAAAGGCAATGTTCAACTCTGTGACTTGAATGCAGACATCACAGAGCAGTTTCTGAGAATGCTTCTGTCTAGATTTTATAGGAAGATATTCCCGTTTCCAACGAAATCTTCACAGCTATCCAAATATCCACTTGCAGATTCTACAAAAAGAGTGTATCAAAACTGCTCCGTCAAAAGGAAGGTTCTTCTCTGTTAGGTGAGTGCATACGTCATAAAGGAGTTTCTGAGAATGTTTCTGTCTAGTGGTTATGGGAAGATATTTGCTTTTTCACCGTAGGCCTCAGAGCCCTCCAAATATCCACTTGCACATACTACAAAGAGAGTGCTTCAAACCTGCTCTCTGAAACGGAATGTTCAACTCTATGAGTTGAATGCAAACATCACAAAGACGTTTCTGAGAATGCTTCTGTCTAGATTTGATATATAGATATTCCCGTTTCCAACGAAATCTTCAAATCTATCCAAATGTCCACTTGCAGATTCAACAAAAAGTGTTTTTCAGAACTGCTCTATCAAAAGAAAGATCCACCTCTGTTAGCTGAGTTCACACATCACAAACAAGTTTATGAGAATGCTTCTGTCTAGTTTTTATTTGAAGATATTTCCTTTCTCACCATAGACCTGAAAGCTGTCCTAATGTTCACTTCCAGATACTACAGAAAGAGTGTTTCAAAACTGCTGTACGAAAGGGAATGTTCAACACTGTGACTTGAATGCACACATCACAAAGAAGTTTCTGAGGATGCTGCTGTCTACTTTTTATACGTAATCCCGTTTCCAACGAAATCCTCCAAGCTATCCAAATATCCACGTGCAGATTCCACAGAAAGACTGTTTCAAAACTGCTCTGTCAATAGAAAGGTTCAACTCTGTTAGCTGCGTGCATATATCCCAAAGAAGATTCTGAGATTCCTTCTGTCTAGTTTTTATGGGAAGATATTTCCCTTTTCACCGTAGGTGTCAAGGCGCTCCAAATGTCCACTTCCAGATACTACAAAAAGAGTGTTTCAAACCTACTCTGTGAAAGGGAATATTCAACTCTGTGACTTAAAGGCAGATATCACAAAGAAGTTTCTGAGAATGCTTCTGTCGAGATTTTATATGAAGATATTCCCCTTTCCAACGAAATCCTGAAATCTATCCAAATATCCCCTCGCAGATTCTACAAAAAGAGTGTTTCAAAACTGCTCTGTGAAAAGAAAGGTTCAACTCTGTTAGTTGAGTACACACATCACAAACAAGTTTCACAGAATGCTTCTTTCTAGCTTGTAGGGGAAGATATTCCCTTTATCACCATGGTCCTCAAACCGTCCGAAACGTCCACTTTCATATACTACAAAAAGAGCGTTTCAAACCTGCTCTAGGAAAGGCAATGTTCAACTCTGTGACTTGAATGCAGACATCACAGAGCAGTTTCTGAGAATGCTTCTGTCTAGATTTTATAGGAAGATATTCCCGTTTCCAACGAAATCTTCACAGCTATCCAAATATCCACTTGCAAATTCTACAAAAAGAGTGTATCAAAACTGCTCTGTCAAAAGGAAGGTTCTTCTCTGTTAGGTGAGTGCACACGTCATACAGGAGTTTCTGAGAATGTTTCTGTCTAGTGGTTATGGGAAGATATTTGCTTTTTCCCCGTATGCCTCAGGGCGCTCCAAATGTCCACTTGCAAATGCTACAAAAAGAGTGCTTCAAAGCTGCTCTCTGAAAGGGAATGTTCAACTCTATGAGTTGAATGCAAACATCACAAAGACGTTTCTGAGAATGCTTCTGTCTAGATTTGATATGACGATATTCCCGTTTCCAACGAAATCTTCAAATCTATCCAAATGTCCACTTGCAGATTCAACAAAACGTGTTTTTCAGAACTGCTCTATCAAAAGAAAGATCCACCTCTGTTAGCTGAGTTCACACATCACAAACAAGTTTATGAGAATGCTTCTGTCTAGTTTTTATTTGAAGATATTTCCTTTCTCACCATAGAGCTGAAAGCTGTTCTAATGTTCACTTCCAGATACTACAGAAAGAGTGTTTCAAAACTGCTGTACGAAAGGGAATGTTCAACTCTGTGACTTGAATGCACACATCACAAAGAAGTTTCTGAGGATGCTGCTGTCTACTTTTTATACGTAATCCTGTTTCCAACGAAATCCTCCAAGCTATCCAAATATCCACTTGCAGATTCCCCAGAAAGACTGTTTCAAAACTGCTCTGTCAATAGAAAGGTTCAACTCTGTTAGCTGCGTGCATATATCCCAAAGAAGATTCTGAGATTGCTTCTGTCTAGTTTTTATGGGAAGATATTTCCCTTTTCACCGTAGGTGTCGAGGCGCTCCAAATGTCCACTTCCAGATACTACAAAAAGAGTGTTTCAAACCTACTCTGTGAAAGGGAATATTCAACTCTGTGACTTGAAGGCAGATATCACAAAGAAGTTTCTGAGAATGCTTCTGTCGAGATTTTATATGAAGATATTCCCGTTTCCAACGAAATCCTGAAGTCTCTCCAAATATCCCCTCGCAGATTCTACAAAAAGAGTGTTTCAAAACTGCTCTGTAAAAAGAAAGGTTCAACTCTGTTAGTTGAGTACACACATCACAAACAAGTTTCACAGAATGCTTCTTTCTAGCTTGTAGGGGAAGATATTCCCTTTATCACCATGGGCCTCAAACCGTCCGAAAAGTCCACTTCCATATACTACAAAAAGAGCGTTTCAAACCTGCTCTAGGAAAGGCAATGTTCAACTCTGTGACTTGAATGCAGACATCACAGAGCAGTTTCTGAGAATGCTTCTGTCTAGATTTTATAGGAAGATATTCCCGTTTCCAACGAAATCTTCACAGCTATCCAAATATCCACTTGCAGATTCTACAAAAAGAGTGTATCAAAACTGCTCTGTCAATAGGAACGTTCTTCTCTGTTAGTTGAGTACAAACGTCATAAAGGAGTTTCTGAGAATGTTTCAGTCTAGTGGTTATGGTTAGACATTTTCTTTAACCCCGTAGGCCTCAGAGCGCTCCAAATATCCACTTGCACATACTACAAAAAGAGTGCTTCAAAGCTGTTCTCTGAAACGGAATGTTCAACTCTATGAGTTGAATGCAAACATCACAAAGACGTTTCTGAGAATGCTTCTGTCTAGATTTCATATGAAGATATTCCTCTTTCCAACGAAATCTTCAAATCTATTCAAATGTCCACTTGCAGATTCAACAAAAAGTGTTTTTCGAAACTGCTGTTTCGAAAGAAAGATCCACCTCTGTTAGCTGAGTTCACACTTCACAAACAAGTTTATCAGAATGCTTCCGTCTAGTTTTTATTTGAAGATATATCCTTTCTCACTATAGACCTGAAAGCTGTCCTAAAGTTCACTTCCAGATACTACAGAAAGAGTGTTTCAAAACTGCTGTACGAAAGGGAATGTTCAACTCTGTGACTTGAATGCACACATCACAAAGAAGTTTCTGAGGATGCTGCTGTCTACTTTTTATACGTAATCCCATTTCCAAAGAAATCCTCCAAGCTATCCAAATATCCACTTGCAGATTCCACAGAAAGACTGTTTCAAAACTGCTCTGTCAATAGAAAGGTTCAACTGCTGTTAGTTGCGTGCATATATCCCAAAGAAGATTCTGAGATTGCTTCTGTCTAGTTTTTATGGGAAGATATTTCCCTTTTCACCGTAGGTGTCAAGGCGTTCAAAATGTCCACTTCCAGATACTACAAAAAGAGTGTTTCAAACCTACTCTGTGAAAGGGAATATTCAACTCTGTGACTTGAATGCACATATCACAAAGAAGTTTCTGAGAATGCTTCTGTCGAGATTTTATATGAAGATATTCCCGTTTCCAACGAAATCCTGAAATGTATCCAAATATCCCCTCGCAGATTCTACAAAAAGAGTGTTTCAAAACTGCTCTGTAAAAAGAAACGTTCAACTCTGTTAGTTGAGTACACACATCACAAACAAGTTTCACAGAATGCTTCTTTCTAGCTTGTAGGGTAACATATTCCCTTTATCACCATGGGCCTCAAACCGTCCGAAACGTCTACTACCATATACTACAAAAAGAGAGTTTCAAACCTGCTCTATGAAAGGCAATGTTCAACTCTGTGACTTGAATGCAGACATCACAGAGCAGTTTCTGAGAATGCTTCTGTCTAGATTTTATAGGAAGATATTCCCGTTTCCAACGAAATCTTCACAGCTATCCAAATATCCACTTGCAGATTCTACAAAAAGAGTGTATCAAAACTGCTCTGTCAAAAGGAAGGTTCTTCTCTGTTAGGTGAGTGCATACGTCATAAAGGAGTTTCTGAGCAATGTTTCTGTCTAGTGGTTATGGGAAGATATTTGCTTTTTCACCTTAGGCCTCAGAGCGCTCCAAATATCCCCTTGCACATACTACAAAAAGAGTGCTTCAAAGCTGTTCTCTGAAAGGGAATGTTCAACTCTATGAGTTGAATGCAAACATCACAAAGACGTTTCCGAGAATCCTTTCTGTCTAGATTTGATATGAAGATATTCCCGTTTCCAACGAAACCTTCAAAACTATCCAAATGTCCACTTGCAGATTCAACAAAAAGTGTTTTTCAGAACTGCTCTATCAAAAGAAAGATCCACCGCTGTTTGCTGAGTTCACACATCACAAACAAGTTTATGAGAATGCTTCTGTCTAGTTTTTATTTGAAGATATTCCCTTTCTCACCATAGACCTGAAAGCTATCCTAATGTTCACTTCCAGATACTACAGAAAGAGTGTTTCAAAACTGCTGTACGAAAGGGAATGTTCAACTCTGTGACTTGAATGCACACATCACAAAGAAGTTTCTGAGGATGCTGCTGTCTACTTTTTATACGTAATCCCGTTTCCAACGAAATCCTCCAAGCTATCCAAATATCCACTTGCAGATTCCACAGAAAGACTGTTTCAAATCTGCTCAGTCAATAGAAAGGTTCAACTCTGTTAGCTGCGTGCATATATCACAAAGAAGATTCTGAGATTGCTTCTGTCTAGTTTTTATGGGAAGATATTTCCCTTTTCACCGTAGGCGTCAAGGCGCTCCAAATGTCCACTTCCAGATACTACAAAAAGAGTGTTTCAAACCTACTCTGTGAAAGGGAATATTCAACTCTGTGACTCGAATGCACATATCACAAAGAAGTTTCTGAGAATGCTTCTGTCGAGATTTTATATGAAGATATTCCCGTTTCCAACGAAATCCTGAAATGTATCCAAATATCCCCTCGCAGATTCTAAAAAAAGAGTGTTTCAAAACTGCTCTGTAAAAAGAAAGGTTCAACTCTGTTAGTTGAGTACACACATCACAAACAAGTTTCACACAATGCTTCTTTCTAGCTTGTAGGGGAAGATATTCCCTTTATCACCATGGGCCTCAAACCGTCCGAAACGTTTACTTCCATATACTACAAAAAGAGCGTTTCAAACCTGCTCTAGGAAAGGCAATGTTCAACTCTGTGACTTGAATGCAGACATCACAGAGCAGTTTCTGAGAATGCTTCTGTCTAGATTTTATAGGAAGATATTCCCGTTTCCAACGAAATCTTCACAGCTATCCAAATATCCACTTGCAGATTCTACAAAAAGAGTGTATCAAAACTGCTCTGTCAAAAGGAAGGTTCTTCTCTGTTAGGTGAGTGCATACGTCATAAAGGAGTTTCTGAGAATCTTTCTGTCTAGTGGTTATGGGAAGATATTTGCTTTTTCACCGTAGGCCTCAGAGCGCTCCAAATATCCACTTGCACATACTACAAAAAGAGTGCTTCAAAGCTGCTCTCTGAAACGGAATGTTCAACTCTATGAGTTGAATGCAAACATCACAAAGACGTTTCCGAGAATGCTTCTGTCTAGATTTGATATGAAGATATTCCCGTTCCCAACGAAATCTTCAAATCTATCCAAATGTCCACTTGCAGATTCAACAAAAAGTTTTTTTCAGAACTGCTCTATCAAAAGAAAGATCCACCTCGGTTAGCTGAGTTCACACATCACAAAGAAGTTTATGAGAATGCTTTCTGTCTAGTTTTTATTTGAAGATATTTCCTTTCTCAACATAGACCTGAAAGCTCTCCTAATGTTCACTTCCAGATACTACAGAAAGAGTGTTTCAAAACTGCTGTACGAAAGGGAATGTTCAACTCTGTGACTTGAATGCACACATCACAAAGAAGTTTCTGAGGATGCTGCTGTCTACTTTTTATACATAATCCCGTTTCCAACGAAATCCTCCAAGCTATCCAAATATCCACTTGCAGATTCCACAGAAAGACTGTTTCAAAACTGCTCTGTCAATAGAAAGGTTCAACTCTGTTAGCTGCGTGCATATATCACAAAGAAGATTCTGAGATTGCTTCTGTCTAGTTTTTATGGGAAGATATTTCCCTTTTCACGCGGTAGGAGTCAAGGCGCTCCAAATGTCCACTTCCAGATACTACAAAAAGAGTGTTTCAAACCTACTCTGTGAACGGGAATATTCAACTCTGTGACTTGAATGCACATATCACAAAGAAGTTTCTGAGAATGCTTCTGTCGAGATTTTGTATGAAGATATTCCCGTTTCCAACGAAATCCTGAAATCTATCCAAATTTCCCTTCGCAGATTCTACAAAAAGAGTGTTTCAAAACTGCTCTGTAAAAAGAAAGGTTCAACTCTGTTAGTTGAGTACACACATCACAAACAAGTTTCACAGAATGCTTCTTTCTAGCTTGTAGGGGAAGATATTCCCTTTATCACCATGGGCCTCCAACCGTCCGAAACATCCACTTCCATATAATACAAAAAGAGCGTTTCAAACCTGCTCTATGAAAGGCAATGTTCAACTCTGTGACTTGAATGCAGACATCACAGAGCAGTTTCTGAGAATGCTTCTGTCCAGACTTTATAGGGAGATATTCCCGTTTCCAACGAAATCTTCACAGCTATCCAAATATCCACTTGCAGATAGTACAAAAAGAGTGTATCAAAAATGCTCTGTCAAAAGGAAAGTTCTTCTCTGCTAGTTGAGTACATACGTCATAAAGAAGTTTCTGAGAATGTTTCTGTCTAGTGGTTATGGGAAGATATTTGCTTTTTCACCGTAGGCCTCAGAGCGCTCCAAATATCCACTTGCACATACTACAAAAAGAGTGCTTCAAAGCTGGTCTCTGAAACGGAATGTTCAACTCTATGAGTTGAATGCAAACATCACAAAGACATTTCTGAGAATGCTTCTGTCTAGATTTGATATGAAGATATTCCCGTTTCCAACGAAGTCTTCAAATCTATCCAAATGTCCACTTGCAGATTCAACCAAAAGTGTTTTTCAGAACTGCTCTATCAAAAGAAAGATCCACCTCTGTTAGCTGAGTTCAGACATCACAAACAAGTTTATGAGAATGCTTCTGTCTAGTTTTTATTTGAAGATATTTCCTTTCTCACCATAGACCTGAAAGCTGTCCTAATGTTCACTTCCAGATACTACAGAAAGAGTGTTTCAAAACTGCTGTACGAAAGGGAATGTTCAACTCTGGGACTTGAATGCACACATCACAAAGAAGTTTCTGAGGATGCTGCTGTCTACTTTTTATACATAATCCCGTTTCCAACGAAATCCTCCAAGCTATCCAAATATCCATTTGCAGATTCCACAGAAAGACTGTTTCAAAACTGCTCTGTCAATAGAAAGGTTCAACTCTGTTAGCTGCGTGCATATATCCCAAAGAAGATTCTGAGATTGCTTCTGTCTAGTTTTTATGGGAAGATATTTCCCTTTTCACCGTAGGCGTCAAGGCGCTCCAAATGTCCACTTCCAGATACTACAAAGAGTGTTTCAAACCTACTCTGTGAAAGGGAATATTCAACTCTGTGACTTGAATGCAGATATCACAAAGAAGTTTCTGAGAATGCTTCTGTCGAGATTTTATATGAAGATATTCCCGTTTCCAACGAAATCCTGAAATCTATCCAAATTTCCCCTCGCAGATTCTACAAAAAGAGTGTTTCAAAACTGCTCTGTAAAAAGAAAGGTTCAACTCTGTTAGTTGAGTACACACATCACAAACAAGTTTCACACAATGCTTCTTTCTAGCTTGTAGGGGAAGATATTCCCTTTATCACCATGGGCCTCAAACAGGCCGAAACGTCCACTTCCATATACTACAAAAAGAGCGTTTCAAACCTGTTCTAGGAAAGGCAATGTTCAACTCTGTGACTTGAATGCAGACATCACAGAGCAGTTTCTGAGAATGCTTCTGTCCAGACTTTATAGGAAGATATTCCCGTTTCCAACGAAATCTTCACAGCTATCCAAATATCCACCTGCAGATACTACAAAAAGAGTGTATCAAAAATGCTCTCTCAAAAGGAAAGTTCTTCTCTGCTAGTTGAGTACATACGTCATAAAGAAGTTTCTGAGAATGTTTCTGTTTAGTGGTTATGGGAAGATATTTGCTTTTTCACCTTAGGCCTCAGAGCGCTCCAAATATCCCCTTGCACATACTACAAAAAGAGTGCTTCAAAGCTGCTCTCTGAAACGGAATGTTCAACTCTATGAGTTGAATGCAAACATCACAAAGACGTTTCCGAGAATGCTTCTGTCTAGATTTGATATGAAGATATTCCCGTTTCCAACGAAATCTTCAAATCTATCCAAATGTCCACTTGCAGATTCAACAAAAAGTGTTTTTCAGAACTGCTCTATCAAAAGAAAGATCCACGTGTGTTAGCTGAGTTCACACATTACGAACAAGTTTATGAGAATGCTTCTGTCTAGTTTTTATTTGAAGATATTTCCTTTCTCACCATAGACCTGAAAGCTGTCCTAATGTTCACTTCCAGATACTACAGAAAGAGTGTTTCAAAACTGCTGT
This sequence comes from Homo sapiens, assembly GCF_000001405.40. NCBI lineage: Eukaryota > Metazoa > Chordata > Mammalia > Primates > Hominidae > Homo > Homo sapiens. Next base: position 14,202,202 of record NC_000022.11, on the reverse strand, counting down.
ACGAAAGGGAATGTTCAACTCTGTGACTTGAATGCACACATCACAAAGAAGTTTCTGAGTATGCTGCTGTCTACTTTTTATATGTAATACCGTTTCCAACGAAATCCTCCAAGCTATCCAAATATCCACTTGCAGATTCCACAGAAAGACTGTTTCAAAACTGCTCTGTCAATAGAAAGGTTCAACTCTGTTAGCTGCATGCATATATCCCAAAGAAGATTCTGAGATTGCTTCTGTCTAGTTTTTATGGGAAGATATTTCCCTTTTCACCGTGGCGTCAAGGCGCTCCAAATGACCACTTCCAGATACTACAAAAAGAGTGTTTCAAACCTACTCTGTGAAAGGGAATATTCAACTCTGTGACTTGAATGCACATATCACAAGGAAGTTTCTGAGAATGCTTCTGTCGAGATTTTATGTGAAGATACTCCCGTTGCCAACGAAATCCTGAAATCTATCCAAATATCCCCTCGCAGATTCTACAAAAAGAGTGTTTCAAAACTGCTCTGTAAAAAGAAAGGTTCAACTCTGTTAGTTGAGTACACACATCACAAACAAGTTTCACAGAATGCTTCTTTCTAGCTTTTAGGGGAAGATATTCCCTTTATCACCATGGGCCTCAAACCGTCTGAAACGTCCACTTCCATATACTACAAAAAGAGCATTTCAAACCTGCTCTATGAAAGGCAATGTTCAACTCTGTGACTTGAATGCAGACATCACAGAGCAGTTTCTGAGAATGCTTCTGTCTAGATTTTATAGGAAGATATTCCCGTTTCCAACGAAATCTTCACAGGTATCCAAATATCCACTTGCAGATTCTACAAAAAGAGTGTATCAAAACTGCTCTGTCAAAAGGAAGGTTCTTCTCTGTTAGGTGAGTGCATACCGTCATAAAGGAGTTTCTGAGAATGTTTCTGTCTAGTGGTTATGGGAAGATATTTGCTTTTTCACCGTAGGCCTCAGAGCGCTCCAAATATCCACTTGCATATACTACAAAAAGAGTGCTTCAAAGCTGCTCTCTGAAACGGAATGTTCAACTCTATGAGTTGAATGCAAACATCACAAAGACGTTTCTGAGAATGCTTCTGTCTAGATTTGATATGAAGATATTCCCGTTTCCAACGAAATCTTCAAATCTATCCAAATGTCCACTTGCAGATTCAAAAAAAAGTGTTTTTCAGAACTGCTCTATCAAAAGAAAGATCCACGTGTGTTAGCTGAGTTCACACATTACGAACAAGTTTATGAGAATGCTTCTGTCTAGTTTTTATTTGAAGATATTTCCTTTCTCACCATAAACCTGAAAGCTGTCCTAATGTTCACTTCCAGATACTACAGAAAGAGTGTTTCAAAACTGCTGTACGGAAGGGAATGTTCAACTCTGTGACTTGAATGCACACATCACAAAGAAGTTCCTGAGGATGCTGCTGTCTACTTTTTATACGTAATCCCGTTTCCAACGAAATCCTCCAAGCTATCCAAATATCCACTTGCAGATTCCACAGAAAGATTGTTTCAAAACTGCTCTGTCAATAGAAAGGTTCAACTCTGTTAGCTGCGTGCATATATCCCAAAGAAGATTCTGAGATTGCTTCTGTCTAGTTTTTATGGGAAGATATTTCCCTTTTCACCGTAGGCGTCAAAGCGCTCCAAATGCCCACTTCCAGATACTACAAAAAGAGTGTTTCAAACCTACTCTGTGAAAGGGAATATTCAACTCTGTGACTTGAATGCAGATATCACAAAGAAGTTTCTGAGAATGCTTCTGTCGAGATTTTATATGAAGATATTCCCGTTTCCAACGAAATCCTGAAATCTATCCAAATATCCCCTTGCAGATTCTACAAAAAGAGTGTTTCAAAACTGCTCTGTAAAAAGAAAGGTTCAACTCTGTTAGTTGAGTACACACATCACAAACAAGTTTCACACAATGCTTCTTTCTAGCTTGTAGGGGAAGATATTTCCTTTATCACCATGGTCCTCAAACCGTCCGAAACGTCCACTTCCATATACTAAAAAAAGAGTGTTTGAAACCTGCTCTATGAAAGGCAATGTTCAACTCTGTGACTTGAATGCAGACATCACAGAGCAGTTTCTGAGAATGCTTCTGTCCAGACTTTATAGGAAGATATTCCCGTTTCAAACGAAATCTTCACAGCTATCCAAATATCCACTTGCAGATACTACAAAAAGAGTGTATCAAAAGTGCTCTGTCAAAAGGAAAGTTCTTCTCTGCTAGTTGAGTACATACGTCATAAAGAAGTTTCTGAGAATGTTTCTGTCTAGTGGTTATGGGAAGATATTTGCTTTTTCACCTTAGGCCTCAGAGCGCTCCAAATATCCACTTGCACATACTACAAAAAGAGTGCTTCAAAGCTGCTCTCTGAACCGCAATGTTCAATTCTATGAGTTGAATGCAAACATCACAAAGACGTTTCTGAGAATGCTTCTGTCTAGATTTGATATGAAGATATTCCCGTTTCCAACGAAATCTTGAAATCTATCCAAATGTCCACTTGCAGATTCAACAAAGTGTTTTTCAGAACTGCTCTATCAAAAGAAAGATCCACGTGTGTTAGCTGAGTTCACACATCACAAACAAGTTGATGAGAATGCTTCTGTCTAGTTTTTATTTGAAGATATTTCCTTTCTCACCATAGAACTGAAAGCTGTCCTAATGTTCACTTCCAGATACTACAGAAAGAGTGTTTCAAAACTGCTGTACGAAAGGGAATGTTCAACTCTGTGACTTGAATGCACACATCACAAAGAAGTTTCTGAGGATGCTGCTGTCTACTTTTTATACGTAATCCCGTTTCCAACGAAATCCTCCAAGCTATCCAAATATCCACTTGCAGATTGCACAGAAAGACTGTTTCAAAACTGCTCTGTCAATAGAAAGGTTCAACTCTGTTAGCTGCGTGCATATATCCCAAAGAAGATTCTGAGATTGCTTCTGTCTAGTTTTTATGGGAAGATATTTCCCTTTTCACCGTAGGTGTCAAGGCGCTCCAAATGTCCACTTCCAGATACTACAAAAAGAGTGTTTCAAACCTACTCTGGGAAAGGGAATATTCAACTCTGTGACTTGAATGCACATATCACAAAGAAGTTTCTGAGAATGCTTCTGTCGAGATTTTATATGAAGATATTCCCGTTTCCAACGAAATGCTGAAATGTATCCAAATATCCCCTCGCAGATTCTACAAAAAGAGTGTTTCAAAACTGCTCTGTAAAAAGAAAGGTTCAACTCCTGTTAGTTGAGTACACACATCACAAACAAGTTTCACAGAATGCTTTCTTTCTAGCTTGTAGGGGAAGATATTCCCTTTGTCACCATGGGCCTCCAACCGTCCGAAACATCCACTTCCATATACTACAAAAAGAGCGTTTCAAACCTGCTCTATGAAAGGCAATGTTGAACTCTGTGACTTGAATGCAGACATCACAGAGCAGTTTCTGAGAATGCTTCTGTCCAGAGTTTATAGGAAGATATTCCCGTTTCCAACGAAATCTTCACAGCTATCCAAATATCCACTTGCAGATACTAAAAAAGAGTGTATCAAAAGTGCTCTGTCAAAAGGAAAGTTCTTCTCTGCTAGTTGAGTAAATTCGTCATAAAGAAATTTCTGAGAATGTTTCTGTCTAGTGGTTATGGGAAGATATTTGCTTTTTCACCTTAGGCCTCAGAGCGCTCCAAATATCCCCTTGCACATACTACAAAAAGAGTGCTTCAAAGCTCCTCTCTGAAAGGGAATGTTCAACTCTATGAGTTGAATGCAAACATCACAAAGACGTTTCTGAGAATGCTTCTGTCTAGATTTGATATGAAGATATTCCCGTTTCCAACGAAATCTTCAAATCTATCCAAATATCCACTTGCAGATTCAACAAAAAGTGTTTTTCAGAACTGCTCTATCAAAAGAAAGATCCACCTCTGTTAGCTGAGTTCACACATCACAAACAAGTTTATGAGAATGCTTTTGTCTAGTTTTTATTTGAAGATATTTTCTTTCTCACCATAGACCTGAAAGCTGTCCTAATGTTCACTTCCAGATACTACAGAAAGAGTGTTTCAAAACTGCTGTACAAAAGGGAATGTTCAACTCTGTGACTTGAATGCACACATCACAAAGAAGTTTCTGAGGATGCTGCTGTCTACTTTTTATACTTAATCCCGTTTCCAACGAAATCCTCCAAGCTATCCAAATATCCACTTGCAGATTCCACAGAAAGACTGTTTCAAAACTGCTCTGTCAATAGAAAGGTTCAACTCTGTTAGCTGCGTGCATATATCCCAAAGAAGATTCTGAGATTGCTTCTGTCTAGTTTTTATGGGAAGATATTTCCCTTTTCACCGTGGGCGTCAAGGCGCTCCAAATGTCCACTTCCAGATACTACAAAAAGAGTGTTTCAAACCTACTCTGTGAAAGGGAATATTCAACTCTGTGACTTGAATGCACATATCACAAGGAAGTTTCTGAGAATGCTTCTGTCGAGCATTTTCTATGAAGATATTCCCGTTTCCAACGAAATCCTGAAATCTATCCAAATATCCCCTCGCAGATTCTACAAAAAGAGTGTTTCAAAACTGCTCTGTAAAAAGAAAGGTTCAACTCTGTTAGTTGAGTACACACATCACAAACAAGTTTCACAGAATGCTTCTTTCTAGCTTATAGGGGAAGATATTCCCTTTATCACCATGGGCCTCAAACCGTCCGAAACGTCCACTTCCATATACTACAAAAAGAGCGTTTCAAACCTGCTCTAGGAAAGGCAATGTTCAACTCTGTGACTTGAATGCAGACATCACAGAGCAGTTTCTGAGAATGCTTCTGTCTAGATTTTATAGGAAGATATTCCCGTTTCCAACGAAATCTTCACAGCTATCCCAATATCCACTTGCAGATTCTACAAAAAGAGTGTATCAAAACTGCTCTGTCAAAAGGAAGGTTCTTCTCTGTTAGGTGAGTGCATACGTCATAAAGGAGTTTCTGAGAATGTTTCTGTCTAGTGGTTATGGGAAGATATTTGCTTTTTCACCTTAGGCCTCAGAGCGCTCCATATATCCCCTTGCACATACTACAAAAAGAGTGCTTCAAAGCTGCTCTCTGAAAGGGAATGTTCAACTCTATGAGTTGAATGCAAACATCAGAAAGACGTTTCTGAGAATGCTTCTGTCTAGATTTGATATGAAGATATTCCCGTTTCCAACGAAATCTTCAAATCTATCCAAATGTCCACTTGCAGATTCAACAAAAAGTGTTTTTCCGAACTGCTCTATCAACAGAAAGATCCGCCTCTGTTAGCTGAGTTCCCACATCACAAACAAGTTTATGAGAATGCTTCTGTCTAGTTTTTACTTGAAGATATTTCCTTTCTCACCATAGACCTGAAAGCTGTCCTAATGTTCACTTCCAGATACTACAGAAAGAGTGTTTCAAAACTGCTGTACGAAAGGGAATGTTCAACTCTGTGACTTGAATGCACACATCACAAAGAAGTTTCTGAGGATGCTGCTGTCTACTTTTTATACGTAATCCCGTTTCCAACGAAATCCTCCAAGCTATCGAAATATCCACTTGCAGATTCCACAGAAAGAGTGTTTCAAAACTGCTCTGTCAATAGAAAGGTTCAACTCTGTTAGCTGCGTGCATATATCCCAAAGAAGATTCTGAGATTGCTTCTGTCTAGTTTTTATGGGAAGATATTTCCCTTTTCACCGTAGGTGTCAAGGCGCTCCAAATGTCCACTTCCAGATACTACAAAAAGGGTGTTTCAAACCTACTCTGTGAAAGGGAATATTCAACTCTGTGACTTGAATGCACATATCACAAAGAAGTTTCTGAGAATGCTTCTGTCGAGATTTTATATGAAGATATTCCCGTTTCCAATGAAATCCTGAAATCTATCCAATTATCCCCTCGCAGATTCTACAAAAAGAGTGTTTCAAAACTGCTCTGTAAAAAGAAAGGTTCAACTCTGTTAGTTGAGTACACACATCACAAACAAGTTTCACAGAATGCTTCTTTCTAGCTTGTAGGGGAAGATACTCCCTTTATCACCATGGGCCTCCAACCGTCCGAAACATCCACTTCCATATACTACAAAAAGAGCGTTTCAAACCTGCTCTATGAAAGGCAATGTTCAACTCTGTGACTTGAATGCAGACATCACAGAGCAGTTTCTGAGAATGCTTCTGTCTAGATTTTATAGGAAGATATTCCCGTTTCCAACGAAATCTTCACAGCTATCCAAATATCCACTTGCAGATTCTACAAAAAGAGTGTATCAAAACTGCTCTGTCAAAAGAAAGGTTCTTTTCTGTTAGGTGAGTGCATACGTCATAAAGGCGTTTCTGAGAATGTTTCTGTCTAGTGGTTATGGGAAGATATTTGCTTTTTCACCTTAGGCCTCACAGCGATCCAAATATCCACTTGCACATACTACAAAAAGAGTGCTTCAAAGCTGCTGCTCTGAAACGGAATGTTCAACTCTATGAGTTGAATGCAAACATCACAAAGACGTTTGCTGAGAATGCTTCTGTCTAGATTTGATATGAAGATATTCCCGTTTCCAACGAAATCTTCATATCTATCCAAATGTCCACTTGCAGATTCAACAAAAAGTGTTTTTCAAAACTGCTGTATCAAAAGAAAGATCCACGTCTGTTAGCTGAGTTCACACATCAGAAACAAGTTTATGAGAATGCTTCTGTCTAGTTTTTATTTGAAGATATTTCCTTTCTCACCATAGACCTGAAAGCTGTTCTAATGTTCACTTCCAGATGCTACAGAAAGAGTGTTTCAAAACTGCTGTACGAAAGGGAATATTCAACTCTGTGACTTGAATGCACACATCACAAAGAAGTTTCTGAGGATGCTGCTGTCTACTTTTTATACGTAATCCCGTTTCCAACGAAATCCTCCAAGCTATCCAAATATCCACATGCAGATTCCACAGAAAGACTGTTTCAAAACTGCTCTGTCAATAGAAAGGTTCAACTCTGTTAGCTGCGTGCATATATCCCAAAGAAGATTCTGAGATTGCTTCTGTCTACTTTTTATGAGAAGATATTTCCCTTTTCACCGTAGGCGTCAAGGCGCTCCAAATGTCCACTTCCAGACTACTACAAAAAGGGTTTTTCAAACCTAGTCTGTGAAAGGGAATATTCAACTCTGTGACTTGAATGCACATATCACAAAGAAGTTTCTGAGAATGCTTCTGTCGAGATTTTATATGAAGATATTCCCGTTTCCAACGAAATCCTGAAATCTATCCAAATATCCCCTCGCAGATTCTACAAAAAGGGTGTTTCAAAACTGCTCTGTAAAAAGAAAGGTTCAACTCTGTTAGTTGAGTACACACATCACAAACAAGTTTCACAGAATGCTTCTTTCTAGCTTGTAGGGGAAGATATTCCCTTTATCACCATGGGCCTCCAAGCGTCCGAAACATCCACTTCCATATACTACAAAAAGAGCGTTTCAAACCTGCTCTATGAAAGGCAATGTTCAACTCTGTGACTTGAATGCAGACATCACAGAGCAGTTTCTGAGAATGCTTCTGTCTAGGTTTTATAGGAAGATATTCCCTTTTCCAACGAAATCTTCCAAGCTATCCAAATATCCACTTGCAGATTCTACAAAAAGAGTGTATCAAAACTGCTCTGTCAAAAGGAAGGTTCTCCTCTGTTAGTTGAGTACATACGTCATAAAGGAGTTTCTGAGAATGTTTCTGTCTAGTGGTTATGGGAAGATATTTGCTTTTTCACCTTAGGCCTCAGAGCGCTCCATATATCCCCTTGCACATACTACAAAAAGAGTGCTTCAAATCTGCTCTCTGAAAGGGAATGTTCAACTCTATGAGTTGAATGCAAACATCACAAAGACGTTTCTGAGAATGCTTCTTTCTAGATTTGATATGACGATATTCCCGTTTCCAACGAAATCTTCAAATCTATCCAAATGTCCACTTGCAGATTCAACAAAACGTGTTTTTCAGAACTGCTCTATCAAAAGAAAGATCCACCTCTGTTAGCTGAGTTCACACATCACAAACAAGTTTTTGAGAATGCTTCTGTCTAGTTTTTATTTGAAGATATTTCCTTTCTCACCATAGACCTGAAAGCTGTCCTAATGTTCACTTCCAGATACTACAGAAAGAGTGTTTCAAAACTGCTGTACGAAAGGGAATGTTCAACTCTGTGACTTGAATGCACACATCACAAAGAAGTTTCTGAGCATGCTGCTGTCTACTTTTGATACGTAATCCCGTTTCCAACGAAATCCTCCAATCTATCCAAATATCCACTTGCAGATTCCACAGAAAGACTGTTTCAAAACTGCTCTGTCAATAGAAAGGTTCAACTCTGTTAGCTGCGTGCATATATCCCAAAGAAGATTCTGAGATTGCTTCTGTCTAGTTTTTATGGGAAGATATTTCCCTTTTCACCGTAGGCGTCAAGGCGCTCCAAATGTCCACTTCCAGATACTACAAAAAGAGTGTTTCAAACCTACTCTGTGAAAGGGAATATTCACCTCTGTGACTTGAATGCAGATATCACAAAGAAGTTTCTGAGAATGCTTCTGTCGAGATTTTAAATGAAGATATTCCCGTTTCCAACGAAATCCTGAAATCTATCCAAATATCCCCTCGCAGATTCTACAAAAAGTGTGTTTCAAAACTGCTCTGTAAAAAGAAAGGTTCAACTCTCTTAGTTGAGTACACACATCACAAACAAGTTTCACAGAATGCTTCTTTCTAGCTTGTAGGGGAAGATATTCCCTTTAACACCATGGGCCGCAAACCGTCTGAAACGTCCACTTCCATATACTACAAAAAGAGCGTTTCAAACCTGCTCTATGAAAGGCAATGTTCAACTCTGTGACTTGAATGCAGACATCACAGAGCAGTTTCTGAGAATGCTTCTGTCTAGATTTTATGGGAAGATATTCCCGTTTCCGACGAAATCTTCACAGCTATCCAAATATCCACTTGCAGATTCTACAAAAAGAGTGTATCAAAACTGCTCTGTCAAAAGGAAGGTTCTTCTCTGTTAGGTGAGTGCATACGTCATAAAGGAGTTTCTGAGAATGTTTCTGTCTAGTGGTTATGGGAAGATATTTGCTTTTTCACCGTAGGCCTCACAGCGCTCCAAATATCCACTTGCACATACTACAAAAAGAGTGCTTCAAAGCTGCTCTCTGAAACGGAATGTTCAACTCTATGAGTTGAATGCAAACATCACAAAGACGTTTCTGAGAATGCTTCTGTCTAGATTTGATATGAAGTTATTCCCGTTTCCAACGAAATCTTCAAATCTATCCAAATGTCCACTTGCAGATTCAACAAAAAGTGTTTTTCAGAACTGCTCTATCAAAAGAAAGATCCACCTCTGTTAGCTGAGTTCACACATCACAAACAAGTTTATGAGAATGCTTCTGTCTAGTTTTTATTTGAAGATATTTCCTTTCTCACCATAGACCTGAAAGCTGTCCTAATGTTCACTTCCAGTTACTACAGAAAGAGTATTTCAAAACTGCTGTACGAAAGGGAATGTTCAACTTCTGTGACTTGAATGCACACATCACAAAGAAGTTTCCTGAGGATGCTGCTGTCTACTTTTTATACGTAATCCCGTTTCCAACGAAATCCTCCAAGCTATCCAAATATCCACTTGCAGATTCCACAGAAAGACTGTTTCAAAACTGCTCTGTCAATAGAAAGTTTCAACTCTGTTAACTGCGTGCATATATCCCAAAGAAGATTCTGAGATTGCTTCTGTCTAGTTTTTATGGGAAGATATTTCCCTTTTCACCGTAGACGTCAAGGCGCTCCAAATGTCCACTTCCAGATACTACAAAAAGAGTGTTTCAAACCTACTCTGTGAAAGGGAATATTCAACTCTGTGACTTGAATGCAGATATCACAAAGAAGTTTCTGAGAATGCTTCTGTCGAGATTTTATATGAAGATATTCCCGTTTCCAACGAAATGCTGAAATCTATCCAAATATCCCCTCGCAGATTCTACAAAAAGAGTGTTTCAAAACTGCTCTGTGAAAAGAAAGGTTCAACTCTGTTAGTTGAGTACACACATCACAAACAAGTTTCACACAATGCTTCTTTCTAGCTTGTAGGAGAAGATATTCCCTTTATCACCATGGGCCTCAAACCGTCCGAAACGTCCACTTCCATATACTACAAAAAGAGTGTTTCAAACCTGCTCTATGAAAGGCAATGTTCAACTCTGTAACTTGAATGCAGACATCACAGAGCACTTTCTGAGAATGCTTCTGTCTAGATTTTATAGGAAGATATTCCCGTTTCCAACGAAATCTTCACAGCTATCCAAATATCCACTTTCAGATTCTACAAAAAGTATGTATCAAAACTGCTCTGTCCAAAGGAAGGTTCTTCTCTGTTAGGTGAGTGCATACGTCATAAAGGAGTTTCTGAGAATGTTTCTTTCTGGTGGTTATGGGAAGATATTTGCTTTTTCACCGAAGGCCTCAGAGCGCTCCAGATATCCACTTGCACATACTACAAAATGAGTGCCTCAAAGCTGCTCTCTGAAACGGAATGTTCAACTCTATGAGTTGAATGCAAACATCACAAAGACGTTTCCGAGAATGCTTCTGTCTAGTATTTGATATGAAGATATCCCCGTTTCCAACGAAATCTTCAAATCTATCCAAATGTCCACTTGCAGATTCAACAAAAAGTGTTTTTCAGAACTGCTCTATCAAAAGAAAGATCCACCTCTGTTAGCTGAGTTCACACATCACAAACAAGTTTATGAAAATGCTTCTGTCTAGTTTTTATTTGAAGATATTTCCTTTCTCACCATAGACCTGAAAGCTATCCCAATGTTCACTTCCAGATACTACAGAATGAGTGTTTCAAAACTGCTGTACGAAAGGTGATGTTCAACTCTGTGACTTGAATGCACACATCACAAAGAAGTTTCTGAGGATGCTGCTGTCTACTTTTTATACGTGATCCTGTTTCCAACGAAATCCTCCAAGCTATCCAAATATCCACTTGCAGATTCCACAGAAAGACTGTTTCAAAACTGCTCGGTCAATAGAAAGGTTCAACTCTCTTAGCTGGGTGCATGTATCCCAAAGAGGATTCTGAGATTGCTTCTGTCTACTTTTCATGAGAAGATATTTCCCTTTTCACCGTAGGCGTCAAGGTGCTCCAAATGTCCACTTCCAGATACTACAAAAAGAATGTTTCAAACCTACTCTGTGAAAGGGAATATTCAACTCTGTGACTTGAATGCACATATCACAAAGAAGCTTCTGAGAATGCTTCTGTCGAGTATTTTCTATGAAGATATTCCCGTTTCCAACGAAATCCTGAAATCTATCCAAATATCCCCTCGCAGATTCTACAAAAAGAGTGTTTCAAAACTGCTCTGTAAAAAGAAAGGTTCAACTCCGTTAGTTGAGTACACACATCACAAACAAGTTTCACAGAATGCTTCTTTCTAGCTTGTAGGGGAAGATATTCCCTTTATCACCATGGGCCTCCAACCGTCCGAAACATCCACTTCCATATACTACAAAAAGAGCGTTTCAAACCTGCTCTATGAAAGGCAATGTTCAACTCTGTGACTTGAATGCAGACACCACAGAGCAGTTTCTGAGAATGCTTCTGTCCAGACTTTATAGGAAGATATTGCCGTTTCCAACGAAATCTTCACAGCTATCCAAATATCCACTTGCAGATACTACAAAAAGAATGTATCAAAAGTGCTCTGTCAAAAGGAAAGTTCTTCTCTGCTAGTTGAGTACATACGTCATAAAGAAGTTTCTGAGAATGTTTCTGTCTAGTGGTTATGGGAAGATATTTGCTTTTTCACCTTAGGCCTCAGAGAGCTCCAAATATCCCCTTGCACATACTACAAAAAGAGTGCTTCAAAGCTGCTCTCTGAAAGGGAATGTTCAAATCTATGAGTTGAATGCAAACATCACAAAGACGTTTCTGAGAATGCTTCTGTCTAGATTTGATATGAAGATATTCCCGTTTCCAACGAAATCTTCAAATCTATCCAAATGTCCACTTGCAGATTCAACAAAAGGTGTTTTTCAGAACTGCTCTATGAAAAGAAAGATCCACCTCTGTTAGCTGAGTTCACACATCACAAACAAGTTTATGAGAATGCTTCTGTCTAGTTTTTATTTGAAGATATTTCCTTTCTCACCATAGAGATGAAAGCTGTCCTAATGTTCACTTCCAGATACTACAGAAAGAGTGTTTCAAAACTGCTGTACGAAAGGGAATGTTCAACTCTGTGACTTGAATGCACACATCACAAAGAAGTTTCTGAGGATGCTGCTGTCTACTTTTTATGCGTAATCCCGTTTCCAACGAAATCCTCCAAGCTATCCAAATATCCACTTGCAGATTCCACAGAAAGACTGTTTCAAAACTGCTCTGTCAATAGAAAGGTTTAACTCTGTTAGCTGCGTGCATATATCCCAAAGAATATTCTGAGATTGCTTCTGTCTAGTTTTTATGGGAAGATATTTACCTTTTCACTTTAGGTGTCAAGGCGCTCCAAATGTCCACTTCCAGATACTACAAAAAGAGTATTTCAAACCTACTCTGTGAAAGGGAATATTCAACTCTGTGACTTGAATGCAGATATCACAAAGAAGTTTCTGAGAATGCTTCTGCCGAGATTTTAAAAGAAGATATTCCCGTTTCCAAGGAAATCCTGATATCTATCCAAATATCCCCACGCAGATTCTACAAAAAGAGTGTTTCAAAACTGCTCTGTAAAAAGAAAGGTTCAACTCTGTTAGTTGAGTACACACATCACAAACAAGTTTCACAGAATGCTTCTTTCTAGCTTGTAGGGGAAGATATTCCCTTTATCACCATGGGCCTCAAACCGTCTGAAACGTCCACTTCCATATACTACAAAAAGAGCATTCCAAACCTGCTCTATGAAAGGCAATGTTCAACTCTGTGACTTGAATGCAGACATCACAGAGCAGTTTCTGAGAATGCTTCTGTCTAGATTTTATAGGAAGATATTCCCGTTTCCAACGAAATCTTCACAGCTATCCCAATATCCACTTGCAGATTCTACAAAAAGAGTGTATCAAAACTGCTCTGTCAAAAGGAAGGTTCTTCTCTGTTAGGTGAGTGCATACGTCATAAAGCAGTTTCTGAGAATGTTTCTGTCTAGTGGTTATGGGAAGATATTTGCTTTTTCACCGTAGGCCTCAGAGCGCTCCAAATATCCACTTGCACATACTACAAAAAGAGTGCCTCAAAGCTGCTCTCTGAAGCGGAATGTTCAACTCTATGAGTTGAATGCAAACATCACAAAGACGTTTCTGAGAATGCTTCTGTCTAGATTTGATATGAAGATATTCCCGTTTCCAACGAAATCTTCAAATCTATCCAAATGTCCACTTGCAGATTCAACAAAATGTGTTTTTCAGAACTGCTCTATCAAAAGAAAGATCCACGTCTCTTAGCTGAGTTAACACATCACAAACAAGTTTATGAGAATGCTTCTGTCTAGTTTTTATTTGAAGGTATTTCCTTTCTCACCATAGACCTGAAAGCTGTCCTAATGTTCACTTCCAGATACTACAGAAAGAGTGTTTCAAAACTGCTGTACGAAAGGGAATGTTCAACTCTGTGACTTGAATGCCCACATCACAAAGAAGTTTCTGAGGATGCTGCCGTCTATTTTTTATACGTAATCCCGTTTCCAACGAAATCCTCCAAGCTATCCAAATATCCACTTGCAGATTCTACAAAAAGAGTGTTTCAAAACTGCTCTGTAAAAAGAAAGGTTCAACTCTGTTAGCTATGTGCATATATCCCAAAGAAAATTCTGAGATTGCTTCTGTCTAGTTTTTATGGGAAGATATTTCCCTTTTCACCGTAGGCGTCAAGGCGCTCCAAATGTCCACTTCCAGATACTACAAAAAGAGTGTTTCAAACCTACTCTGTGAAAGGGAATATTCATCTCTGTGACTTGAATGCACATATCACAAAGAAGTTTCTGAGAATGCTTCTGTCGAGATTTTATATGAAGATATTCCCGTTTCCAACGAAATCCTGAAATCTATCCAAATATCCCCTCGCAGATTCTACAAAAAGAGTGTTTCAAAACTGCTCTGTGAAAAGAAAGGTTCAACTCTCTTAGTTGAGTACACACATCACAAACAAGTTTCACAGAATGCTTCTTTCTAGCTTGTAGGGGAAGATATTCCCTTTGTCACCATGGGCCTCAAACCGTCCGAAACGTCCACTTCCATATACTACAAAAAGAGCGTTTCAAACCTGCTCTAGGAAAGGCAATGTTCAACTCTGTGACTTGAATGCAGACATCACAGAGCAGTTTCTGAGAATGCTTCTGTCTAGATTTTATAGGAAGATATTCCCGTTTCCAACGAAATCTTCACAGCTATCCAAATATCCACTTGCAGATTCTACAAAAAGAGTGTATCAAAACTGCTCTGTCAAAAGGAAGGTTCTTCTCTTTTAGGTGAGTGCATACGTCATAAAGGAATTTCTGAGAATGTTTCTGTCTAGTGGTTATGGGAAGATATTTGCTTTTTCACCGTAGGCCTCAGAGCGCTCCAAATATCCACTTGCACATAGTACAAAAAGAGTGCTTCAAAGCTGCTCTCTGAAACGGAATGTTCAACTCTATGAGTTGAATGCAAACATCTCAAAGACGTTTCTGAGAATGCTTCTGTCTAGATTTGATATGAAGATATTCCCGTTTCCAACGAAATCTTCAAATCTATCCAAATGTCCACTTGCAGATTCAACAAAAAGTGTTTTTCAGAACTGCTCTATCAAAAGAAAGATCCACCTCTGTTAGCTGAGTTCACACATCACAAACAAGTTTATGAGTATGCTTCTGTCTAGTTTTTATTTGAAGATATTTCCTTTCTCACCAAAGACCTGAAAGCTGTCCTAATGTTCACTTCCAGATACTACAGAAAGAGTGTTTCAAAACTGCTGTACGAAAGGGAATGTTCAACTCTGTGACTTGAATGCACACATCACAAAGAAGTTTCTGAGGATGCTGCTCTCTACTTTTTATACGTAATCCCGTTTCCAACGAAATCCTCCAAGCTATCCAAATATCCACTTGCAGATTCCACAGAAAGACTGTTTCAAAACTGCTCTGTCAATAGAAAGGTTCAACTCTGTTAGCTGCGTGCATATATCCCAAAGAAGATTCTGAGATTGCTGCTGTCTAGTTTTTATGGGAAGATATTTCCCTTTTCACCGTAGGCGTCAAGGCGCTCCAAATGTCCACTTCCAGATACTACAAAAAGAGTGTTTCAAACCTACTCTGTGAAAGGGAATATTCAACTCTGTGACTTGAATGCACATATCACAAAGAAGTTTCTGAGAATGCTTCTGTCGAGATTTTATATGAAGATATTCCCGTTTCCAACGAAATCCTGAAATCTATCCAAATATCCCCTCGCAGATTCTACAAAAAGAGTGTTTCAAAACTGCTCTGTGAAAAGAAAGGTTCAACTCTGTTAGTTGAGTACACACATCACAAACAAGTTTCACACAATGCTTCTTTCTAGCTTGCAGGGGAAGATATTCCCTTTATCACCATGGGCCTCCAACCGTCCGAAACATCCACTTCCCTATACTACAAAAAGAGCGTTTCAAACCTGCTCTATGAAAGGCAATGTTCAACTCTGTGACTTGAATGCAGACATCACAGAGCAGTTTCTGAGAATGCTTCTGTCTAGATTTTATAGGAAGATATTCCAGTTTCCAACGAAATCTTCACAGCTATCCAAATATCCACTTGCAGATTCTACAAAAAGAGTGTATCAAAACTGCTCTGTCAAAAGGAAGGTTCTTCTCTGTTAGGTGAGTGCACACGTCATAAAGGAGTTTCTGAGAATGTTTCTGTCTAGTGGTTATGGGAAGATATTTGCTTTTTCACCGTAGGCCTCAGAGCGCTCCAAATATCCACTTGCACATGCTACAAAAAGAGTGCTTCAAAGCTGCTCTCTGAAAGGGAATGTTCAACTCTATGAGTTGAATGCAAACATCACAAAGACGTTTCTGAGAATGCTTCTGTCTAGATTTGATATGAAGATATTCCCGTTTCCAACGAAATCTTCAAATCTATCCAGATGTCCACTTGCAGATTCAACAAAAAGTGTTTTTCAGAACTGCTCTATCAAAGGAAAGATCCACCTCTGTTAGCTGAGTTCACACATCACAAACAAGTTTATGAGAATGCTTCTGTCTAGTTTTTATTTGAAGATATTTCCTTTCTCACCATAGACCTGAAAGCTGTCCTAATGTTCACTTCCAGATACTACAGAAAGAGTGTTTCCAAACTGCTGTACGAAAGGGAATGTTCAACTCTGTGACTTGAATGCACACATCACAAAGAAGTTTCGGAGGATGCTGCTGTCTACTTTTTATACGTAATCCCGTTTCCAACGAAATCCTCCAAGCATTCCCAATATCCACTTGCAGATTCCACAGAAAGACTGTTTCAAAACTGCTCTGTCAATAGAAAGGTTCAACTCTGTTAGCTGCGTGCATATATCCCAAAGAAGATTCTGAGATTGCTTCTGTCTACTTTTTATGAGAAGATATTTCCCTTTTCACCGTAGGCGTCAAGGCGCTCCAAATGTCCACTTCCAGATACTACAAAAAGAGTGTTTCAAACCTACTCTGTGAAAGGGAATATTCAACTCTGTAACTTGAATGCACATATCACAAAGAAGTTTCTGAGAATGCTTCTGTCGAGATTTTATATGAAGATATTCCCGTTTCCAACGAAATCCTGAAATCTATCCAAATATCCCCTCGCAGATTCTACAAAAAGAGTATTTCAAAACTGCTCTGTAAAAAGAAAGGTTCAACTCTGTTAGTTGAGTACACACATCACAAACAAGTTTCACAGAATGCTTCTTTCCAGC